>NC_000012.12:29527772-29680467 GCF_000001405.40 Homo sapiens
CAAAATAGGCAAAGAGATTATCTTTTTCATCTAAATCTTCTCTTTTATTTTTGCATCCATTAGCTGAGCTGATTTTCCACTAGAAATGATATTTTCAAAATCCAAAGAAATAGTGAGATCTAAAGACTGAGTGTGTCAAGGGCAATGAATCACAGCCCTACACCTTCAGTAACCCCAATGGCAGTTTCAAGGCTCTATGAAAAGGTCTTTAAGATCTGTCTTTCTATTCATTTCACTTGATTGTCAATTTCATGGAATGATCAACTCTACTCATAAACAAAAAACAAAACACTTCTCCAGGAAGAAAATACTGTATGGGTGTTTAAAGTAAATTCCGCCTTCTCTGGAAGGGTAATGCATTTATCTTAAATAACACTATTATTTAATCTCTGAAGCTCAATTTCGAGCACTCATTTTCATTTAATTCAACTGGCTACAAGTCCTGACCTAAGCCTGATCATTTCTAGTCTCTACTGACTTGTAAGTTCCAGAGGAAATGAATGTAAGCTATTTATAGGACAACTTTAATTAAAAATATTTGTGACCCAGGGAATGGTTGTGACATATTAATACCGTCTGCTGTACACCAGAGTCCCCAGCCATCCTGCGAAATTGGCCTTCGAGGGCAGCAGTTAAAAATGGGCAGCATGCAGCCATGGGCTCCTCTCCAAGACTTAAAGCATTTTCAGTGGTGTGGAAATAAAATGGGCCTTGGAAGAGAGATAAAACACAGTCAACATCCCCACTTTTTATATGCTATAATTACCCAATATAGCACACTTTTTACCTCAAGGAAGGAAAAGTGAAAAATAGATGTCCTGAAAAAGGACCCTTGACTGTAATTTACTGTCTTGAGCCAAATCGTGTGTTTGGAAAACTTTATAGTTCAGGTTCCAATAACTCAAATGACAAATGGACATTGGCTTAATGCAGAAATTCTCAACCTTCTTAATTTTAGAATGCCTTTGAACTCTAAAAGTTACTGAGAATTCCAAAGAACTTTCCATTTATGTGGACTATATATATCAATATTTACTACATTGGAAAAGAAGCTGAGAAACTTTAAAAATATGTGCTAGTTTACTTAATCATAAACTTAAACATAAATAATATATTTATATAAAAATAATTATTTTCAAAGCAAAAAAAATAGCGAGAATAGTGGCATTAGTTTATATTTTTGTAAATCTCTTTAATGTCTGACTTCAGACAGCTGGATTCTCATACCTGCTTCTGTCGGTTCAATCTGTTTTATGTACATATATTTGGTTGGAATATATAAAGAAAATCTGGCCTCACACGCACATTTAGTCGGCAAAGGAGACAGTATTTTAATAGCATTTTCATAACTGTGGATATATCATGTGGCTGCTAGAAAACTACTGTATACTGATGAGATAATGACAGGGAAAAGGCAAATTACTTCTTAGTACTATTAGGAAAGTGCATAAACCTTCATGGACCCTGGGGGTCTCCAGTCAACAATTAGCAAACAGATTAACAGATGGCCTGTAACAATGTGTACCTACTGTATAGAGGTGTAGAGTGTGGTATTCCAAAGCAGTAAAGGGCCAATAGAAAAAAAAATGTTTCCAGTGCCCTGACATCGGGGTCACTATGTGTCTGAGCTGATTTTCTAGAAGTGCTTTCACTCTAATCAATAATTTAAAGCCACAGAGTCTTAAAGTATATTCCTATTAGCCAAATGGCTTTATTAGTAAATAGTAATACATTGTAATATTGTAATAGTAATTACAAAAGTAATATTGTAATAGTAATTACAAACCTGGGAAATTAAGGACTAACAGATCTTTAAACTCATGTCAACGACTTCTCCAAGAAACTATTCAAGACACAGCAGCCCAAAAGATAAAGACACCTGTTTTCTCACCCTCTTCTTTGCTTTTGTTTTCTTTACGAGACAGTTCCTCCACCCATATGTCATCAGTATGAGCATTTATGAGAAACATGCTATCAATATTTGATGTCTAATTCTCTTTCATATCCAACTAAAATGAATCAATTAATCTGGCATTCTTCCCCACCAAGGAAATACAAGGTGTTTCCTAATCCTAGATTTTCTCATCTACCAGCAGAATGTGATCAACACTACTCTGACAATTTACACAAACAAGAAGTGACCACTTTAAAGATGGAATGCCAAGAACAATACAATAAATGCTAAAGAGAAAGAGTGACAAAAGTGAGCAACTACAGATAATGCAGTCATGGAACCAGAAAAAGAGGTGAAAACCACATTTGCATATAATTGCAGCTTCCTGATACTTTAGACTTTTCTCATGCCATTTTGCCTTCATTCTCTATACTTCCAGGTACATGACTTTCTTTCTACTTGAGAAATAGAAATAAAATCCTAAGTCCCCAATCTGACTCAACACACCCCCTCCTGGCCAAGGAGACCCCAGGGAAACCTTAAAAACTCAATTCCCAGCTATGACCAGAGAGGTAAGGTCACTCAATCATTATACCCACTCCTTTGCCACCATTAGACTCTCTTTCCTAAGAGTTGAACAGAAACTAGCACTTTTGAAAGACTTGCTCCACTGCTGATTTCAACCAACCACCTCATTCTGCAGCAGAGCTCCCTTCCCCTTTTATGGTCTCAACGCAACTGACCAGCATTTCTTCCTGGAAAGAAACCATGGACTGTGGACTGCTTCTAGCTGGTCCATGGAGACTGTGCATAGGGTGCCTCTGCATTTAAACGTTGTGTCTCCACCTCAAAGTGCACATGGGATGTATGTAACATGCATGTTTGCTTACTACGCATGTGCAACCCCTTCATAAATATTCACAGTTCCTCCTCTAATCTGTTGAACATGTATACTTAGGCAACCCGTTCAGCATAAATTCCTGTCTTGCCCTTCCTCCTTCAAAGCACCTGCTTTTGCTTTCTGCGGGAGGCTATGCTTCCCAGCCTGCAAGTGGCCAGCCTGCAGGCTACAACCCATTATAAGAAGTAAAGCTCTCCTTTCCAAATTTGTAGATCTCATGATTTTAAGTTGACATATTAGAAGTAAGCTCAATACATATTAGAAGTAAGCTCACCTCAGAGCCCTTAGAGGGTCTATTCCTTCTGACTAGAAAGCTTTTCCTTTCACTTTTACCCAGTTTATATCTATCGGTCCTTTAGATATCAGATTAAAGGTAACCCTTTGGCAACCATCCCCACTACCCATATATTCCTCTCCCACATTAGGTTAGGTCCCCTTAACATGTTCACTGGTGCTTTCCCTTTGCACAGTTGTTACGCTTGTGTTAGACATTGGGGAGGGAGCTATAAATCTTTGCCTAGGGGTAGCCTTCCCTTCTATACTACACTCCATGAGGGTAACCACATACATAACTTGCTGCTTCAACACTCTGGCGCTTGGTGGCATCTAGATGCTCAATAAATATGTGCTCAGTAATTAAATCAATAAATTCTTAAGTTAGGGTCTTCGTCCAAGTTGACTTAGCCCCACACAGTGTGGCTGAATGTACCTCAAATATAGCATTTGTAGGAGAGAACCTACCTGACCCAGGACTTTTTATTTGACCCAGAGTTCCAATTTATGTTTTATTGTTCCAATTTTCTTTTTGCTCTTGCATTGGGTAAAGTCATATTTCAAAGCACATGAAGGAAAAATATTTTATTTTAAGTGTTATCATTTTAATTAATTGTTTTTCAATAGGCTATCAACGTGGGGCTAGTAATAATTTACAGTGGCCAGAGTCATAAACAATGTTAATTTTATTTCCTTTACTGCTACTGCAATGCAAAGCTATATAATCCATGCAAGAGTAGGATGGTTAAAAATGATTGTGGGCTTATAAATATTTACTACCCTATCTGTGAAGCTGGAGTCCAGCCAGTTCTGAATGCTGATGGAGAACAAAGAGTATAGCAAGTCAGAGACCACCCTGACTTCAAAGCTAAGAGTTTATCTTCTGTTCTCAGTTTTCTTGACTTCTTTGATGCAGTAGACACAGAGTGGTATCAACTTTCTTCTGGACATTTTTATGTGCCTAGCTTCTATGACAACTCATCCTTCTGGGTTTCTTTTATCTCTTCTTCCTTTCCACTCCATTCCATGCCTAACCTCATTAACTATGGCCCATGATCACAGTCTATTCATGGGGTCCCAGTGTCATCTAATGCAAGAGTGGCAGGTGAGGAGCTTGGAGACCAGGTTTTAGTCAAGGTCCTGCTGCAAGTTAGTGAATCACCATGAGCGGCCACTTAATTCTGTGTACCATATATTTTTATGTAAAATGAGAAGGTTAAAAAAATTCTTCAGGGCTTTTTCCTACACTATTCTTCATTTTCTCCTCGAGGAAATTATCTGCTTATAATATGATTTCATTTTTTTAAAGTCCTAGGTCTATTTTTCTAGCCCTGATCTCTTTCTCTGTCATTGGTCCATATGCCATTTTCATTGAAATGTTCCACTAACATTCAAAACTTAAAGGTTGTACACTGCTGGTGGCAGAGTAAATTGGAACTGCCCTTTCGGAAAGCAATTTGGTAACACGTCTCAAGACTCATGAAATATATTCTTTGATATGGAAATTATTCTGGAATTTATCATTAGGAAATGATTCAAAATATTGTTTTAAAAAAGCCCTAAGAAAAAAAAGCTCAATGCCACAAAAGAAAATAAAAAGGAATCCAAATGTCCCAGCATTTGAAATATTATTAACCATATATTACAGCAAATCATTTTGATAAATCAGTAAGCAGCCATTTAAGTGGTATTTATGAAGGTCATTTAGCACCATGAAAAAACAAAATAGTATGTATAATTTAATGGCAAGTGAAAAAAACAGGATACAAACAGTGTATAAATATTAGTATGGAACACATAAATATATTTAAAAGAGATGCATATTAAAGAATGATAATATTTGTTGTCTCCAGGTATTATATTATGAATAAAGGATGTATACGTTATTTTCTCTGAGTTTTCACAGTTTCCTTTATATATTTATATTACTTGTTTAACTGGAAACAATGTTGACACTCATCTTATTTCTTTCCTAAAATATTGCTTCTGTCTGGCTTATCCACGTCTATCAGTGGCCATAAATCTTCTCATTTTCTTAGGGGTTCTGACCTGGAGTTCTTAATTTTCTATTTTTCTTTTCCATTCAACCTTTACATGCTGACAGTCCCTATGTACCATGGAAATCTTTCTTTTTCCACGATATTCTATCCATTCCCTCACTTTCTTCTGCAAACAAGGCTCTCAACTACTCACACCAGAATGCATAGAAAAGCCTTTTCCAAAATACACCATGTGTTTTCCACAAGGTTTTCTTCCTCACATGTTTTAGAAAGCTCTCCTCAGATATTTACCGTTACTTCCTATTATCTATCAATGTAAAACTTGGGCTCCATTATGGCCTTAATATGTTCTACCATATAATGTCTTTTCAACTCATTAATCTATTTTTCAAATTTGTCAAATCCCCTACTTTGCGCGAACAGATTAAATTTCTCCCCTCAGGTTACAACAGAGTAAGGAACACAATATTAGTTTCCGACAAATCCTACATTCATGGTTTTATTGGCACTGAGGATGGGAAATGATGTCAACAGACAGCAGCATGCTTATAATAAGAGCAAGGTATACCAAATAAACCTAGTTTCCTTTTTTGATATTATAGATTTGCAGCCTTACATCAGGGGAAGGATTTTGGCAGGTGTCTGAAAATGTGTCTCGAAACATCTCTGTAGACAAGACTGAGAAAGGTGAGCTAGAGGATAATATAATTCAACAAATTAACGAATGCTTGAATAAGTTTACCCAAAGAGTCTGGCATAAGATAAAGGTCAACCTGGAAAGAAGGTTCTACAGATATGCTGCAGGGCTTCCTAACTAATACTGATCTTCACAACATTTTTTAAAATCGAAAACACAAACTAGTTATTTAACTAAAACTATTATCAAGTTTGCCAACTGAAAGAGCTGGAAATGGTAGTCAATACACTGTACGGCAGGAAAAAAACTAAAAAGTCCTAGAAAATCAGAAATGTCAGGCTGATATAAATACAGAATATGTCAGGCTGATGTAAATACAGAATGAATCCTTTCATCCAGCTTCTGAAAAACTGCCTGCAAAATGGCTGATTTCAGCTGAGTGTAGGAAAGAGCTTTTTGGCATGACACTGACCCACAACCACAGTCCGCGTGGGCTGTGCATGTGGACGGATGGTGGCAATGGAGGACAAGTCGCTTGACTAAGGGGATGGCTTCACTGTGTGTTACATGTTGCCCAAGGTTTGTCAATACTGATTTCATACACTCTGGGTGTTTGAAATGCCAGGATGCTGTTAAATAAAGTTGTGCAACCAAGAAATGAATTCATTTGCTACCAAAAAATGTTAAGCTAGGTGGGTTTTTCTCTAACAGTTTGTGTCTTGCTTGCACATCTGATGCACTCTTTTATGACTAAATAGTTAAAAACATGAAGATAGGATGTTGAAAGTCAGAGAGGGGAAGGCAGTCCTGAGTTATGCTCAACAGCTGCTTCATTGTTTTCATGCCCAAAGGGGCAGAAGAAAGAACTTTTCAATCTTTCAGTTCCATTCTTATATCTCACATCATTTTACATTCACATCTAGAACAGAAAAGTGCTAAAAGATGGGACCTTTGTGTGTAAGAAAAGATAATGATCCTAGTCATCATTTGTTGTTCTTAACAATTGTTCACAACTTCAACTATGTAAAATGCAATAACTTGATAGCAATTTGCCACTGCAGTTCACAAAAGATTAAATTTATCAAGTAATCAATTTTAAATAAGCCATCTGACACTTCTTACACACAAGTAAGGAAAAAGTATATACGTTATCCTGTTTAAACTTCCATCTGCTACAAAATTTGTTAATAGTAAGGCTGAATGCAAAGATACTACAGAAGGAACTAAAATAAAGTTCAACATCATTAAAATCTTGATCATTTTTAAAATGAGCTTAGATGAATAAAACACATAGCTGTTCTCATAGAGTCAAATATTCTAACGGTGGCAGAAAGTCCATAAACAAATAAATGTGTTTTAGATGGTGATAAATACTATAGGGAAAGTAAGGCAGGACATGGTAGTAGAGAACATGATGGGCTGCGGAAGGTTCCTATTTACAAAGGGTCATCTCAGAAGACCTCTCTGATATAGTAACATTTGGTCAGAAACCAGCATGATATGAAATATCTTGGAAACTCTAAGATAACTATCTGGAAGAGAAGTGCTGCAGGAACAGTTAGTGCAAAGGCTGTGAGAGAGAAGCACACTTAGCACATCTGAGTAACTGCAAAACAACCAGCCTGTCAGAGGCAGGGGGAGGGGCTTATGAAAAGGAAGGGTCCAGGGTGAGGTGAGATGAAGCAACACTGATGAAGCCAGCCTCTGTGTCTGTTTCAACACAAGCCAAGGGCAGCTGAGGACTGCCAGTGTATAGCACAGACACATCCATCACCATTTTAGCTCACACTTTATACTAAAGCATGCGTTAAAATCATCCAACACAGACAGAGGTTTTTAATCTAAAGCCCGCCTATCCTACAGGGAGAAAGGGCAAAACAACTAGGTTTATATTCTTTGTCACTTAAATATTCATAGAATGACCTAATTTTGCTTCTTGCTGGAGCCTCCAAAAATTTCTGATGCAAATCGCTCCCTACAAAACTGACATACAGTATCAAATCACTTATTACCCTTAAGCCAACTGAATGCTGCCGGGCATGTTGCAGAGATGTTGAGTTTGAGTTTTAAAGATAATCTGGTAATTTTATGGTAGCAGAATCTACTGTCTATCAAGGGCACTATGTGTGTCAACAAAACTATATCATCAATTTAGAGAGAAGACAACTTATATCTGTTTCTCCATAGCAGGGGTCATGCATCTAAGACTCTGAAAACTGGTATCAAATCATTTAGACACGACTGAAAAGAAGGAGGGGATTGAAAACTCATCTCTGTTTTATGCCATAAAAACTATTCTCTTAGGAGCCTCTCTCACGAGCCTCTGTAATATTCTAACAGATGTTAAAACAGAATTTGTAGGATTATCAAATTGCTCCATGTTGAGTTCAGCGATCTTAGACCACTTGCAATTCCTCAGAAAAATATTACAAGTAAGTGGTAATAAAAACATCAAATATCATGTATTGTTCTTGATAGATTCTGTACCAAAGTGAGAGAGAATATATCAATGGCCAATAACGGACCATCTTTGTCTAAAAGCGACCTGTGATACACAGAGAATATTGGAGTGAGAAAATTAGGCTTGTAATTTCTGTCCAAAAGAAACTGACATAGAGATTGGTTGTCCAATATGGGTTTACAAATTAAATCATTAGTACAAAAATCTGTGTAACATTAATTTATACATGTAACAATAACATTGAAAAAAACTACTGTGTGAAACAATTACCTGCTCAGCCAATAACGAAGCTAAGCTTGAATATGCATCTGCAAACTCTGGACCATATTTGATGGAATCCTTCAGTAAGGTGATAGCTTCTTCCTTTTTCTCCTGGGACCTATAGATAATAATGAAGGGGTGGGGGAGAACATCTTTTAATAACACTTTGTTTCAATCCTCTGATTAGACTCTAAAAATCTCATTTCTTTTAGCAAAGGTTAGCTGATTCACTCTGGATTTATTGCAAATGAATTAAACTACATTGTCTCAAGGTGCTAACAGTTTCTTTCTGTCTCTGAATTCTCCATGGAAAGAGATGTAAAGATGTAAATTACGCTTCAGGTTATCCACTTTTTTCTACCTTCTGTTTTCTGCTGTGCACTCTTCGAGAGTTATATTCAATATTTTGCAGGTCTGTTAATGAGAAACTTTGATCTTCAGAGGAACAATTTGGGGGAAATTGGGTGGCATGAGAGCCAATTTACAATGATGTGAAGATATTTGGGTCCCTGTAGTACTGGTCACACCACTGCAGGCTGAGCTCCTAGGGTGGCTGTACCTTCCAGGAACAAACCAGGCCAAACTGCTTAATCTTTGGTTTTATATTTAAGAGAGAAAATATTCCATAAATAATTTATGAAATTAGAGACTACTGTGACCACTGGCTGGTAAAGAATAATGAGACATTTTATCATCATATTTTTACTGAAAATTGAGGCTAATTCTGTCTTCTTCATTTGGTTCTTCCCCCAGTGATGACACTTCCTTTTAAAGAGGACTCAAGGCCCAAAAGTCATTACCATTTTCTTGGGTAAAAGTTCTCTTTCCTGTTAAATCCAATGAGGAGACATTGGGTCATTATGCTGATATCAATATCTTTGGGGCCAAAAATGTACAGTATTGGAAGTGATCAAGTTTGCTATTAATACAATTCCACAGACACTAGTCTCTTGTTAAGTGCTAGACATTGTAATTGTGCAATGAAAAAGAGAATCCTTTGCACTATACCAAGGACACAGCCTAAAGGTCCCCTCCTCTTTAACAGTTACCAATATAGAGTTGCGTGCTTGTGTTTTTACTATGCACTGATTTAGCAATGACTATGTGCCATATACCCTCATATCTTTCACATAACATTATTAATGTATTTCTCACAACAATCACATATGGTAGATATTATTGTTCTATTATTATACTCATTTTTCTAATGAGAAATTTTCAATTCAGGGAAGTCAAGTGACTCATCCATGTTTATATAAACAGTCTTCGGAGTGCTCTTCCATCATACCATATCTGCTGATTCTAACTTCTTAGGAATCCACCCCTAATGACCTTTCTGCTCAAAGTGTGATTCATAGACCTGTTTCAGCAACATCACCTTGGAGCCTGTGAGAAATGCACAATATCTCAGGCCCCATCCAGACCTACTGAATCTGATCCTTCAGTTTCAAAAGATTCCCAGGTGATCTGTATGCATGCTGCGATTTCAGCAGAACTGTCCCATGAGGTATCAAAGGCAGGTGACCGTAGCTCCTGATACAATCCCCTCCATCTCCCACGCCCCGGCCCTACAGCTCCAGTTTCTGAGGATGAAGTGACATAGAGGGAAAACTAATATTCACTCCATAAGTTTGAGTTCTTAAGTGTTAGAAGCAGCTTGTTACATAAGGCAATTTCAACTATCATAGACCTTGGGGAAAAAACCGCCATGCTTCCAACATAGACCTTGGATTTAACAATTCAATGAAGCAAATATTTATCATTATCGATTATATGTCAAGCACTTAGCTGTTTCTCAGGAGAGGTGGTGGTCTGCACTATCCTCTTCTTATTAGGGTCTATCTAACTCCTAATGGGCTCTTGTTCATGCAAAGTCCCATCCTTGAGAACAGGTATAACACCCATGTCCTTAAGTGGATTGTCCTTGGGATGGCTTTCAAGTTGCATGGTTATAATTAATTTGTATTACAGCTCGCTTAGTGCTTTATTATTGATTCACTCATTTCGTGGACATTTAAAGAGTACCCACAAGACTCCATGACTTCCATACACACACTACGTTTACATACACTCAAGTTTCTATTCTATAATATACCTTCATGTAATTCTTCCATTGGCACATGTTTTTTAAATGAAATGTATTTTTGTATCCCACTAATTTGGCTATTATCTTATGGTCAGCAGAACTCTTCCTCCAAAAATGCATAAATCTTTAATAACATTAATTTGGAAATCCTCTCAAAGTCCAAAGGAAGGTATGGACTTTGAAAATTAAGGCTGAAAATTAAGTCCCTTGGGATATAATTTAGCTTAGATATTCTTCAAATCAGGAGAGAAAAAAAAACCCATAACATCTTCATAGCAATGACTTAATGGTTTTCTTTTGTCGTGGCTCATATCAGTTAGAATGGAAACTTAGACCTTTTACATGTGAGCTTAGCAAGATGACCATTCAGTACAGTCTATGAACCTAAATGCTTGAGTTTGTCCATGAACATTCATGTGACACGATGGAAAGATTATCATCAAAATTATATACCAAGAACCCAGATTCTTGATAAAAAACATCATCTCCAAAAATCCTGTGAGAGACTAACAGACTTTAAGAAAAACACCTCATCATGTAATTAATTTAGTATATGAGTATTACAAGATGCAAAGACTCTGGCAGAGAAGACATTTCTTTTTGGCTGTGTACTCCTGGAGGATTCTCCTTTTGCTTGGGAGCCGCTGAGTGTCATTAAGCACCAACAGGTCAGGCTAACAGACATCACATGCCACCTTGAGAGAGATTTTTAAATTCTTCTTAAAGAAAGCCCAATAAGTTGATAAGTGGTGATTTGTTATTGTTTCTAAAAGGGAGAGGAATGAAGAGAATATTTCTTCTATAGTCTCTCTTGCTCACCCCTTGGTGGGAGCTTATGAAATAGGTGTGGCTTTGACACAATAACTTAGAGAAGATAATTCATCTAAATAAAACCTTTCTTGGTTATATAGTAATATGATTATTATGTGAGATTGAAACTTAATTTCAAACTGTTTCTGATGTTAGTAGCATCCCTTTTTCATATCTGTATTATAGCACGTTTCTCTGATAATTATCCCATATTAAAAATCAGTCCTACAATACTATTGGATTATTGCAGTCTTACTCAGCACTTACTCAGTTTCGCTTGCTAATGCCTTGGTTCACACATCTGATTTTAGTTCCCTCATTCTTCTCCTTTTATTACGTGCCGACAACGGGAAGAACTTTTTCTAGACCTCTGCTTTCATATATAAAAATCTTTATTAATGTCCAACTACCTACAGATAGACTCTTAGGCTAAAACCCTCTACAATATGGTTCTGACTAGCATTCCAAACATACCCAGGTACCCGCTACTCCAGCGAAACTGGGTGGCCTTTGGCATCTATTCTGCAGAACCTAACAATGACCTACTCCATTGATTATCTTCACTGTACCTTACAAATCACTGCGTGTGCTTTAAAAAAGACTTTAGTGCTCTGAGGCTTGGCCTCTTAGTAGGATGCCCTCCGTATGAATATGACAATCACCCAGATTTGAGAATCATGGATAGACTCCAACCTCAATTTACAGTACTAGAGACTGAGATTCAGAGTGCTTTCATGATTTGCCCTGCTCCTAAGCAAAAACAAGGGACTAGCCCTAGGTCTTCCGCCTCTCAGCCTGGTGTTCTTCCCACACCACTTCACAGATGGCTCTTCTCTCCTTCCTATTCAACTCTGGTTCCCAGAGACACCTTCCCTGACTTGCCCAGCTCAAAGCTCCTAAAAACACTTAAGAAAACGAAGAACATATGTATACATATGTATCACCTTTCTGATATTTCAGTTTTTTTTTCTATCATCATAGGAAAAATATGGTAGGAAAATGCTACCTAGAAGCCCCATTCTGACATCTATATTTTTCTTCTCTGAGATCCTAGTGAAGCACGTGTGGGGAACCTACTGCTGCCTCTTGCGAGGGGGGATCCAGGTCCATCTAACAGTGAATGTGCCATGCAGACAAGTTTTTTAAGCTGCATATTTCACAATAGTTGTTTCCTAAACATTTACTCTCTGCCAAGGACCATGCTAAGTAATTTACTCTAATTCTCATTCAGCATTATAAATTTGGCATAATTATCTCCCTTTCAAAGATTTAGACAAAAATACTGACCACCATCATCCCAAATGAATAGAAAACTAAGGTTTAGAGAGCTCAAGTGATTTGTCCCCAGTCACACAGCTTCGATAACACCTGGACTCTAATTTAGAACTTCAAATCTAGACCGTTCCATTGAGGCCACACTTGGCATTTCTGTGTTCACTCGCTGAAATGTTATACAATTTATCTGTGACCACCAGGTTTTAAGTTCCTTCACAGGTGGGACCTACATCTTACTAATGTTACTTTTTTTTCCCCAATTCAGAAAAGTGACTTGCACAGAGTAGAAATTCAATAATTGCTGCATTCGTTTAAAAAAAAAAAATCACCGTAGTTTTGGCCAGGCATCGTGGCTCACGCCTGTATGTAATCCCAGCACTTTCGGAGGCCGAGGCAGGTGGATCATGAGGTCAGAGGAGTTCGAGACCAGCCTGGCCAAGATAGTGAAACCCTGTCTCTACTAAAAATACAAAAATTAGCCAGGCACAGTGGCGGGCGCCTGTAGTCCCAGCTACTTGGGAGGCTGAGGCAGGAGAATGGCGTGAACCTGGGAGGCGGAGCTTGCAGTGAGCCGAGATCACGCCACTGCACTCCAGCCTGGGCGACAGAGTGAGACTCTGTCTCAAAAAAAAATAAAAACAAACAAACAAACAAAAAGCCATAGTTTTACTCTTTATTTCTAGATCTTTGTAAATCTCCTTAAATGTTTTCCAATATTTGAATAAAATTTGACAAAAGGTGACAATATGATTCCCCCATGTTACATTTTGTTTCTACAGTTCTTTAAGTATTATAGACGTGATCCTAAGGAAGACAGAAGCAGCCCAAGCCTAACTTAGAATCATAAGAAAATCACAGGCACCGCATCCACGTTTTGAAAATCTGTTCCTTACCAAGCACACTGCTAAGCCGCCTATCCACCTTACCACTATATGGTAGTTAAAAGCACAGACTTAAAAACCAGAAGGACTGGCGTCTCACTCTACATCTACCACTTACTAGCTGTGTTTCCTTAGGCAAATTATCTGACCCCCATGCATCTCAGGCACTTGGTAGGTACTGTCTATGTTTTGGCTTTTATTATTAACTCATTTAATGTTTCTAAAAATCACCCATTGAAACCTATTCTTTTCTTAATTTTTAAAACCAAGGAGAATGTGCCATTTTTGATATAGTCTCTCCTAAATAATATCCTTCCACATTTCAAACCATTCATAAAAAGCTTGGGTTACACATCAGAGAAATTTTTCTTTGTTTCTGATACCACAATAGTTTTTCACTGTTGCTTTTTTTTTTTTTTTTTTTTGAGACAGAGTCTTGCTCTGTCGCCCAGGCTGGAGTGCAGTGGAGCAATCTCAGCTCACTGCAACCTCCGCCTCCCAGGTTCAAGCAATTCTCCTGCCTCAGTCACCCAAGTAGCTGGGATTACAGGCACACACCACCACGCCCAGCTAACTTTTGTATTTTTAGGAGAGACGGTGTTTCACCATGTTGGCCAGGATGATCTCAATCTCTTGACCTCGTGATCCGCCTGCCTCGGCCTCCCAAAGTACTGGGATTACAGGCATGAGCCACCTCACCTGGCCCCACAATAGATTTTTAATCTAATAATTATCATACCTAAATTCATAGCATTGTATTAATTTAGCCATTTAGACCGAATTGACAAGTCAATTTCAAAGGGGAAAAATATTAAAATAACTTTTCTTCTCTGAACTGACCAAGTCCATGGGTCATTTCTCTGAGTTATATTGAAAGGCCAGAGTTAACTAGCCCATAATTGGTGAAAAATAGATAAAATCGAACATCAGTATATATCCTGTCCAATCAGGCACAGACACACTTTGATTTTGGAGTCACAGAAAACTCTGAATCCCTTTAAGAACTCATGTGATACTAAAGACACCAAGAACAACAAGGACTCTCAGAGCTTCTGGTAGAGGGTTCAACCGGCACTGATGGAACTCTTGGGGATCCCTGCATAGGTAAAAAGTGCAGGTAAGCGTAAAACTGCTCCAGAATTTGGCAATATTATTGCCCTGCAGCATCTGGAATTTCCTTAACTGCTAAACAGCATCACCAGCTGACGACTGATAATAATCCTCCGTGATCTAAAATATTTTGTCTTTACTTCTCTCTTAAATCAACACTTCTGAAATTCTGGTGCGTAAAACTCTCCAGGTGTTTGGTAAAGTGCAGAATGCCAGGACTGATAAGATTCAGCAGGTCTTGGTGGGGCCCAGGAATCATTAGGATTCTAAGCCTCTCAGGTGATTCTGCTTAGCATGGATCAATTGATCCTGCAGAGGAGGCTAAATATAATAGGATGCTGAAAGCTAAAAAGACAGGATAAAGAAGACTTCCCTGGGACAATCTGACCAAAAGAGAAAGGTGGCACTGGCTGGTTAATTTGCCCCATGAAAGATACTCCTGGATACCAGGAAATGTGGCAGGATGGGGTTGGGCAGAGTAGAACTCTGGGGTAATACTGCAATGAAAAGAGGCAGTTTTCTCTCTCATAGGGGCTGTATTGTGAATATCCTTGATTGCATATCCAAGTCTTAGCTCCTGTGTTATCCATCATAACAAAAATAAAAATCTCCTAATATTTTGCAGCAAAACTCAACTCTCTCATGTTTCCCCCGGGAGCTTCCAAAAGGCTAAAAAATTCCCGAGAATGTGTTCCTGGGACCAGTGACATCATCATTAATTTCATAAGAGAAACATTAAGTAGAAATTAGATCTTGTTTAGAATGTACGAATTTTGCCATTAAACACTTGTAGTTTCACAGGGAATTTTCCCTTTGGTTACACAGCATTGGGACTGTTTTTCCTGTGTGTTAAGTAAAAACATTTGCATCGTGTCACTTTCATGGCTCCATGTCAGTGACAGATATTTAGCAAAAGCAAACAAGGTTTCGCCACATTTTTCTTTTAGTAATTAAGTACTGGGTAAGTTTGTCAATTTAGAGAACTTTTTGGATTCCTGTCTAAAGTCTCATGACATATTCATTTAAACTGAAAGTAGATGCTTGCTTTGAAAAAGTATTGACATTTGGGGAGAACGTAGGAAATGCCAGTAACAGAAATAAATGGATTTGGCGACCCTCTTGGTGGCAGTAAAATTTCCCATTAACCACAGTGTGAACTTGGAATGCTGGGCAGACCTCTTAATTACTATTCCTTTGTCGGGGTGTCTGTTGTTGTTGGATTCAAAATTGATGTTCCCAACAAATGAAAAAGATCATGGTTTTTTTTGGCATACTGACTTTACCAGCTCTTCTAAAAAACTGAATTGTGAAAGTCAAATTGTAAACGTCTGACTGAGATGATCTTTACAGAGCACACATGTTTCTGTAGCTCTACTATCTTTCCTGTACAGAAAGAAAAGAAAATCAGATTATATTCTATGTAGCTTCCTTTAGATTCAAGTTTACTGAGCACACCTGGGAAATGTAATGGAAATATAGCATCTAGTTTACTAGGGGTTCACCCTAATTTTTCTGCTTGACTTTCTACAGAAGCCACGTGGAACTGTGTGGAGGACACAGATTCATATTATGTGGTTAAAAGAATTTTAAAAAATATTTTCGCCAGGTGCAGTGGCTCATGCCTGTAATCTCAATACTTTGGGAGGCCAAGGTGGGCAGATCACCTGAGGTCAGGAGTTTGAGACCAGCCTGGCCAACATGGTGAAACCCCATCTCTACTAAAAATACAAAAATTAGCTGGGCGTGGTGGTGGCGCCTGTAATCCCAGCTACTCGGGAGGCTGAGGCAGGAGAATCACTTGAACCCAGAGGCAGAGGTTGCAGTGAGCTGAGATCATGCCACTGCACTCCAGCCTGGGCAACAGAAGCAAAACTCCATCTCAAAAAAAAAAAAAAAAGTCAATTCACAGTCAAACTCATTAGACAGAGTGGCGCAAAAGTGGCACTGGCCTAACAGTTAACATTCAGAGAATAGGCCACTTGCCTCCCTCCCACCCCCCATCCTACCCTTCTCCCACCTGGAAACTGAGAAATGGTAAGATGGAGTCACAGGGCAGCAGAAATGGAGATGCAGCTCACACACACACCTCACACTGGGGATGGCACAGAGTAGGTCCTGAGGAAATGTTAGTCCTGAGTTCCTCTCCTTTGTTTCTTTGGAACGACTCTTGGTGTCTATCGTCATCCAGATGAGGTCACTGCTCTGCACCCAGGCAGTGGAACACCTGCCCCACTGTGCCTTCCTCTGCATCTGCAGGGCTGGTTCTGCGCATGGGGGCGGGCTGGGATAAACTAGTCCCAAGCCAGTTTCACTTCAAAGTGTATGCAAATATATATGCTAAATCCTTTCAAGATTAAGGGAAAGTGTAAAACAATGCTCCCAGGTAGGGACCTAAAAGGGAAGGCAGCTGAGAATAACTTAATTTAGTCAGGATTCATTTGCCCCATAGCTAAAAGGATGCTTTGATGATGCAGTTTAATGCGTGTTCCTGGGTTTAGGCTCAGGCTTGGGGTGGTCTAAATCTCAGCTCTGCCCTCACCAGTTGAATGATGTGTTAGATGCTTCATCTCTAGGAGCCCCAGTGGCCAAAGAGAAATGTGCTTATTATTAAATAATCTCTACCTCTCTAGGTTCCTGTAAGAGTGGAGTAAAAGAACATGAGTGATATGCTTAGCCGAGTGTCTGGCACATAGTAGGAGGCAATAAATGCTAACTCCACTTGCTCCTTTCTCCTCTCCAGCAAGATTCCCAGCTCAAATTTCTACCAGAAGCCTCACAGATGGGTTTTTTTTTTTCAGCAGAGGCAGGATGCTATTACAATGCAAGTACTTCCTCTGGAGAGAAAAGGGACTTTCAAGTTCTTCTCTGGTCTTCTTTTTCTTTTACTTCTCAGTTAAAAGACCAGAAACCTGTAGTTGTAGTTAAAACCACAGATTCTTGCAGCTGGATAATTCTATGAGATCACTTGTTCTCACCCTTTGTTTTAAAGAGATGGAGGCCGGGCACAATGGCTCACGCCTATAATCCCAGCATTTTGGGAGGCTGAGGAAGACGGATCATTTGAGGTCAGGAGTTCGAGACCAGCCTGGCTAACATGGTGAAACCCTGTCTCTATTAAAAATACAAAAATTAGCCAAGCATAGTGGCTCATGCCTGTAGTCCCAGCTACTCAGGAGGCTGAGGCAGGAGAATCACTAAAACCTGGAGGTTGCAGTGAGCTGAGATCAGCCCACTGCACTCCAGTCTGGGCAACAGAGCAAGACTCTGTCACACACACACACACACACACACACACACACACACACACACACACACGGATAGAAACTAAGCCTCAGCAAAGTTTAAATTTCCCCGAGCTGTTCAACTGCAGGGGTAGAAAATGCATTATCTACTTCTGATTCATTGCATATTTTATACCAAGGACCTGAGTTTCAAATTGAAAGTGAGAAATTATGTCCCTGGGCTGATGATAATTAATAATAGTTAAAGCTTATTTCATCTTCATTGGGTAATAGGGCCTATGTTGAGGACTTACACGCATTATTGTATTTAGTACTCATGAAAGATGTAGTTACTAGTATTATTTGCACTTTATACACGAGCAGTTGGAGGCACTGCAAGGTAAAATCCTTTTCCCAAGGTCACATGTAATTTTGCAGTAGAACTGAGACTCAAACTCACTAAGCTCTCCCAGCTGCTAGTCTTGAGGAGAACACACAGGAGGTGGTAGTGAGGCAGCATGATGTGGCAGAAAGCACTGGCATCAGTTTCCTGGCCCTGGGCTCTCTCCTCACGTGATTCTCAGTCTGTAATGGGAGAGTGATGGGCTTGTCCTAGACAACTGGTGTGGGCAGGCTCATGAGACATGAGAAGTGCTGAGCAGAGTGCCATTTAAGTGCCAGTTACTGTTGTCCCTGTCACTTGCAGGAGGAGGGTGGCCAGAAAGCTGAGGGAAGAGAGCCCTGCTATGCTGGCCGGCAGACAAGAGGCAAGGCATGAAAACACCAAACTAAGGGAACTGGGCCCTATATCAGGAGGGTACAAATGGGAGGGAGGTTGGCAGAATTGCTAAGGAGTCACCAAGAAGGGAAGGGGCCTTATTTCATGCTTCCTGGGACAGACCCTGCAGGCCACAGACAGGGGTGGAACATGCATATTCCTCTTTCTGTCCTTCCTATTTCTCTTCCTGGCCTACACAGAGCATTTTTAGATTTAAAAGCCTTTTGATTATGTCTAACAGCCTATATGCCAAATTTAATTGTCTGGGTAAAGTTGATCTCCTACTGGGCTTTAGAAAAAATGTTCAGGCACTTGGTACCCTAAAGTAAGACAAATGTATGCAGAAAGAAATTTTCAATGATTATCCACATTTCTCTTATTCTTTTAATTGAATCAGACTAGTCCCAGCTACTCGGGAGGCTGAGGCAGGAGGATCGCTTCAGCCCAGGAGTTTGGAAGTTTGAAGCTGTTGTGTGCTATGATCGCACCTGTGAATAGCCACTGAACTCCAGCCTGGGCAACATAGTGAGTCCTTTTCTCTTAAAAAAAAAATTCCTCTTTCACCTTGAGTTATTCCAAAAATTATTCCTTTTTCACCTATATCTTGAGTCATCCCAAGTCTTTCAGGCAGCACAGGAGCTCAAGGGGACAAGATAACAAAGGATTCCGGGAAAGATTGTAAAGGGTGAATGGGGTGGGAAAATGATTTTCAGGACAAGGGAGACTACTGAAACTCTTGCACTTGACAAAGCAGTCTGGCCTGTTTAATTATCCTCTGTTAGAAATATTTATGCAATGAAGGAAAATGATGACATTCCAACTCCTTCAAGAGAATGTAAACAAAAACCAGGGGATTCCTCAAAGCTTGCTCCCACCCAGCACTTCCTGGGCAGCTCTGTCTTCAGGTCTCCGCGGTGTTTACTGCAGTCATTACAAAAGGAAAAGGAAAGATTGAGAGAAGATTCCTTGCAAAGCACATGATGGATTTAAAACAACGCAACCTCAACTCATTAGTAATCACAGTATAAATGAGTGGAGTTGCAGTAGGGGAGAGGGACTCACAAAAATAGTTTAATCATTAGCAATCTGTTTACATACAAACAACTGCCAAATCTTGAGTAAGTACATAGACATTCTCGTTATTTCCCAGTAACTTAATTTTGGACAGCCACTGACCATGAAATGATAAAAATGTAAATGAAACCACATTTTAAATGAACTAGGAAAGTTCTCTATTTAAAACCTCAGTCACAGTCTCTAAAATGTAACCTGGCAGGTTAGTATTTCTCATACATTGACAAATGGCCAATCTGGCTG
This sequence comes from Homo sapiens, assembly GCF_000001405.40. NCBI lineage: Eukaryota > Metazoa > Chordata > Mammalia > Primates > Hominidae > Homo > Homo sapiens. The sequence continues at coordinate 29,547,678 of NC_000012.12, forward strand.
GGGTCTGGGTTTACACAATATGGGAGAGGAGTGAAGAATAAGGAGGAAAGTGGCAGGATTATGGAAAGCCCTGAATGCTAAGACATTTGGACTCTATGTGTGTACGCAATGGATATGAAGTGAATTTCTTAGCTGTCCCTAAATTTATAGGAAGGGTCGAAGAAGAGCAGATGTTGGATTTGGAAGAGCAAAATAATGCACTGTGATAGAAGCAATGAAATAAAGAGCTTCAAAATCAGAAGGAGATCAACAGTGTCATATTCTTCACTGCAGAGAAACTAAGGGAGTAAAAGCTGGCAGAGCAGTGAATGCACTAGACAGCTGTGTGAACAGGTGCAAAGGAGAAGCACCAGGCGCTAACCATTCTTCTTGCCAATTTGATCAAAAGCAAAGAGTGAAGACAACAACTGGAGGGAGCGCCTCAACTGAGAAAGATTCCCTAGGGGGATCTGGGGCATGCTGAAGTTGTGGACTGGAGAGAATTTGAAGACCTAAGAGAGAGCCTGTGGTAATAGAAGAGGAGAGAAATAGAATCAGGAACACATGTGGATTCTACATTAATGACCACTAATGGCTAAAACACAGCACCAAATGTTCAAAAGGATATGGAGCAAATGAATCTTTCCCCATTGCTGATGGAGTGAAAAATGGCACAATTATTTTGGAGAACTGTTTGTCAATTGATATGGTTTGGCTGTGTCCCCACCCAAATCTCATCTTGAATTGCAGCTCCCATAATCCCCACATGTTGTGAGAGGGACCCGGTGGGAAGTAATTGGATCATGGGGGCAGGTTTTCCCCATGTTGTTGCCCTGATAGTGAATAAGTCTCATGGAGATCTGATGGTTTTATAAAGTACAGTTCCCCTGCACACACTCTCTTGCCTGCTGCCATGTAAGATGTGTCTTTGCTCCTGCTTCACCTTGCACCATAATGGTGAGGCCTCCCCAACCATGTGAAACTGTGAATCCATTAAACCTCTTTTTCTTCATAAATTACCCAGTCTCAGGTATGTCTTTATTAGCAATATGAGAACAGACTAATACAGTAATTTCTGAAAACATTAAAGAAACACCCAAATTCTACACCTATATTTATATATTTATATATTACATATAAATATATAAGTATAAAGGTTATATATTGCTTGATTATATCACTTATCTAAAATATATAATATATAAATATATAAATTATATAAAATTAATATACAATATATAATTATTAATATATTTATTTACATATTATATAATATGTAAATAATATATAATATGTATGACATATTTAAATAAATTAAATATATAAATTAAATTAAATATATAAATTATATATTATATATTATATGTTATATATTTATATATTATTTATATAAATAAATATATATTTACCCAAGAAAAATGAACATACAAAGATTGGGAAGTGAATATTCACAACAGCTTTATTCGTAATAACCCATACCTGTAAACAAACAAGTATCCACCCACAGTAAATGGATAAACAAATTATCTAAGATTAATTTCAATAGAATACTACTCAGCAATAAAAAGTAATATGTAACAACATGGATAAGACTAAAAAATTGTGCTAAATGAAAATATCCAGATGCCAAAAATACATACCAAATTATCACTTTAAAATAAAGTTCTAGGCCAAACTAACTTATCGTAAAAAAAATAAAATCAGAACAGTGATTGCCTCAGGGGAGGTGGAAACTTACTGGAAGGAGGTATGGAAGGTCTTTCTGGGGTGATGGAAATTGTCTACGTTATTTTGGGAATAATTATAAGAGCACATAAAATTGTCAAAACTCATTGCACTGAAGACTTAAGATTTGTGCATTTTAATACATGTTAGTTATGCCTCAATTTAAAAAAAAACACACAAACACAGGTATAAACACTAGCCTCATGAAGGAGGCAAGATATTAATAAGGCTTTCTTCTATGGGAGAGCAAAGCAAGCAGGAGTCTACGAACATGCAGGAAATTTTGAGATAGAAAGAAAGGAAACTGTAATATTTCACCTTGAATGACCTGAATATTCTAAGTAAAAGTAAGGGATGAGGTTGTCTTCTGGGTGTGTGTACAGGGCACTGAGGAGGGGAACAGAGGATGTATGCATTAGGGAAACAGGAGATAACATAAAAGACCATAAGGAATGAATTTTCAACAGCTCTTACCCCTAATCATGGTTTTGTTTTCCATGTAGGGATCCCATTCAACTCAGATTTGTATTTTTTTCCTCTATCATTTGATAGATTGGATGACAGTCTAGAGTCCTACATTCTCTACAGGAGTGAAAATTGTTTCTTGGGGTGGGGATGATGGTGGTGAAAAATAATCATAGACATTACAATGGTTTTGGGTCTTTCCAAGCTCAATCCTATGTAACAAATCTTATTCTTGAGTGTTTAATTGGGGAGAAAGCTGATAAGAAAAAATATCTAAAAAAGCTCCTTAAAAGAGGTGAGTATGATAATGAAAAAAAAAATTGAGAAATATTGGTCTAGGGAAAGCAAAATACAGGTAGTGAAGTAACTTGGGTTGGCCTTGTCAGGCAGGTAAATGTTGGTAAAAGTGTGAAAGAGTCTAAGTTGATGTCACGTGCATTACTGAAATACATCAGATAAATTAGAGATAGGGTTATAAATTATGAATGCAAAAATCAGGGAGAAGAGAGGTTCTAACAGTGATCAAGTGCAGGGCCGGCAGGAAAGAGGGAGCAGGAGAATAGCACCTGTCACGGAAGCTATGCTGATGCTTAGGTCTTAATAGAAGGCAACTGAGCAGACAGAGGAGCGAGGAGGTGGCAGGTCATAATCATGATCCCTTTAAAGTGTCAGCGGGAATGAGAGAGTGGGGAAAAGGGAAGGGAGGACAGAGGTAAGAGTTTAAGCTCAAAGAGGAGCATTTCGGAGTTCAAATGCTAGAGAATGACAAAGTCTGCATAATTAAAAAGCCAGTGGCCAGGCCATGTTGGTAAATGCTAAGGTAGAGCATAAATGGGGGGCCCTGAAGGGACAGAAGCACAGGAACTTGGTGATGGATCTTCTTGCTGAAGAGCGCAGCATAGTTTGGTGAGCAATGGAGAGTCACTGCCCTGGTGCTCAAGTCCCTGAGGATGATGGAAGAAGGTACAAGAAGTTGTGAAATGGCAGGGATGAGGATGGTGTTATGAGATGCTGGACTGGGCTTTAAAAGAGCAGGGAGATTGCATCACTGCACTCCAGCCTGGGGGAGAGAGTGGGACTCCATCTCAAAAAAAAAAAAAAAAAAAAAAAAAAAAAAAAAAAAAAGAGCAGGGAGACAGAGCTAGAGAGAAACAAACATGATTTGGACAAAGATGAAGGGGAGCAAGTGTAATGGGATTGGGACTAGAAGTAACTAAAGGTGGAGGGAACAGGTCACTACCACAGGGGTGCAGAGTGGGGGATAGAATTTCATGCTAAGAGGAGGATGCAGAAAATGCTCATCTGAAGCTGGTATACTAATGTGGTAGTAAGGGTGTTAAAAAGTTTTCTTTATCCATGTGGCTGGCATTGTCTACTCTCCGGGGCTTCAGTTAAAAGGTAGAGAAAAACTACTATCTTGAATGTATCAACTTCCTTTTTATGAAATAAAAGTTTGTGTGGCTAGTGCCAAAGGTATTAGGAAACATATCCCTAGCACTTAAAAGATAATGGTTACCCTTATTTCTGCCTCCTAATATTTTTTAGATATTCAATTTTCTAAAGGATCAGACTAAAGTAAATCAAATATATCCTGTTATCAAATTCATCTGCTATATAGTTCAATTATTGGACATTCCATTACATTTTCCCCTGAGTTTTGATTATAAGATTTATTGTAATACCTACCTAACACTCATATTCTATTATGTGAACAAAAGGTAGTTTTGGCAATAAGGGAGGTATGACATGGTTCTTCAAGAAGTTCTTTTTATATTCCATTTCAGTAATAAACACCAACAGCTATTTTAACAGAGCATTCACAGAAATATTTTTCCCATATCCTGAATTTAAATATTCTATTATATTCTGTTGAGCCATCAGGGACTTCCGCTCTGTTCATCCATAAAAAGTTCATGCTAATCTTGCCTATTTTCTTTCTTCTTTTTTTTTTTTTTTTGACATTTTAAATTCTAACCAAAGCCAACAAGAATTAATATAAATTAAGAATGCTGGCATGGAAAGCTGCTTCTTATCAACCTCTCACACTGTAAATGTGCTGCACAGCATCATGACATATTAGCTGCAAAGTCCAGTGAAATGGTCATAAAAGGGGCCAGATATATTTGGATAACACTCAGTGAAGTCTGCTGCTATGAATGGGTCTGAAGCCGTCTGTCATATAATTCCAAGAATTCAAATGAGTTGCTATAAGATTGCCTTGGATGCTCTGATAGAGTCACGTCTTATTTAGAGCTTCTGGCCTGGACAAAGACTCATATTTCTTTCGAAGTCAAGGTTATTAATAAACATCTGTGTTGTACAATATAGTAGCCACAAATTACATGTGGCTACTGAACACTTGAAATATGGCTGTCCTGAGATGTGCTGTAAGTGTAAAGCACACATTGCATTCCAAATATTTCATTTAAAAAAAAAAGAATGCACACCATCTCAGTAATATTTTCAATTTCTCACATTAAATTTTAAAAATTATGTTTTAATATTAATCACATGCTAAAATAATTTGAATACATTAGGGTTAAATAAATATTATTAAAAATAATTTCACTTTTTAAAATGTTTTAAAATCTGGCTACCTAAAAAAATGTAAATTACATGTATGGCTCTCATTTCTACTGGGCAGTGATGCTGCAGGCTGTAGCCCAGTTTTCAGGTGGGCCACAAGGAGGCAGTAGAGTGCGGTGGTTAGGGGCAGAAGGGCTAGAGCAGGTCTAGGTTCCATTCTGTGTCTTCTATTTCCTTACTAAAGGACTTTGGCATGTTACTTATTTTCTCCAAATCTTAGTTTCCTTATTAATCAAACAGGAATAATGATAGTGCTTCCTCTCAGGGATTATCAAATATAAACTGTTCACATCTAAAGAGATAACTTGGATTCTCAGAATGAGCATTAAGTTCCAGGTTATAAAGAAGGATACAATTTTTTAAAGTTAACTCAATAACTCAAAAGTTAACTCAATGGAGAAATCAATATTGTGTACATCTTAAAGTGAATAAATAGTAAAACAGATTAAGTCAAATCAAATTGAAAGTGTTTTTATCCTCTTCTTGCCTTTGACCCATTGCTATGGCTCAGAAATGTATTAAGGTAAGCAGAAATAAAGCTCAGTTATCTAAGTGCTATTTTCTGGGTCATCTCTCTCTGTTACTTAGCAACATAACTTCAGGGTGATGGAAATCAAATTTGCTGTTTCTTTAAGAGAGATGCAGGGTGGTCCTTTCTCCCAAAAGGCAATTGCATGCCATTAAACAGTCTAATATTATGTAATGTTTGGATTGGAAAGCTATTTGGGCACGTGGGTAATGGAAAGTGAACAGGAAAAGGAGTTCAAGGGTAGGGATTCAATCCTGGCTCTGCCATGGCCTGAGCCAAGGTCACATAAAACCTCTGAACTTTGGTTTCCTCACCGGTAAAATGGGGATGAGGAAGGCAATATATCTCCTAATAGATCGTTTTAAAGATTAAATAATGAATATTAAAAGAAACTTATCTGTAAACTGGAAAGCTTTTCAGAGTTAGCTCTTATCATTATTTTAATCTACTGAATTCTATGACTGACCTATGCTGAGATACAGCCACTTGGCTCTATGGTGTAACAGGCAAGAGGAGGTAAACAAGGATAACTTGTTTGGACCTCTGTTAACTTCTTAGGAGCTTGTTTTCTCTTCTTTCCTATTCACTGTAAAGACTCATTGTAAGGGCATCATGAAAAAAAAGGCACTCAGGAAACAGTAAAGTCTTATACAAATGTAAAGCATTGTTGTTGATTTGGATCATCATCAAGAATTGATTTTTACTGAAAAAGAGAAGGGGTAAAAAATCCTGTGTTGGTTACCCAATAACTCCTCTTACTGTGAAAAGTAGCCATTGCCAAGTTCCAAAATGCATTTTTAACTCACATGTACTAATTTAAGATGTTAGCAGTGATAAGATGAAAATTGAAAAAGGAAAGTTAGAGCATCCATCTTTTGCTCAGGTCTTAGCAAAATGAAACTTATAAGAATATCTGCCATTATTTTCAATTAGAGCCAAATTCAGCACCATATTATGATCATAACTGTAGAATAGCATTCCTAACAAGAAACGCCATTTTGTAGCCAAGCCTTTATATTTGGCTTCTATGGGTAAAATACTCATCTATATGATTTTTGAATGTAGCGCTATATAATCCAGGTACCCCAAAAGACATTTACAGGATTTTATATAACCAGTACGTTATTTGGGCTCTTAAGGAGGACATATACAGATGCAACAATGACTTATTAAAACACAAATCCTTAGAACTTCACATAAAGAAATACGTGCTCATAAAAGTAGCAGAGTGAAATAACAACATGATAATGATCTGTATCTAGCTATCTACAATAAGTAGATCTAATTTTTGTCACACTGTTTGATTTGCTATTTTTAAAAAGAGCCTCTTAGAACTAAAATATTTTTTCCACCACAGTTGTACACTTGTCTTCATTATCAGTTGTTTTTCCTTTCTTGTTTTTTTTTTAATACACAATTAGTTTTAATATCACTGTTAGTAGGGATTTGGGCATGGAAAAGGACTGTTGAATGTTCTTACTTTTAGCAAGACGTTAGCGAGTCTTTAGCAAGACTAAAAGTAAGAAAAAGCAGAGCAGTGTATTAAGGTGGGTCAAAGAAAATTACAAATTGTAGACTTAACGATAATTAAAACCTATATTGTGCTATACATATGCAAAGAAGCAGGCCAGACACAGTGTCTCATGCCTATAATCCCGGTACTTTGGGAGGCTGAGGCAGATGGATTGTTTTAGCCCAGGAGTTTGAGACCGGCCTGGGTGACATGGCAAAACCCCACTTCTACAAAAAATACAAAAAGCTTAGCCAGCCATGGGGGGGCATGCCTATAGTCCCACCTACTTGAGTCTGGGAGGCAGAGGTTGCAGCGAGCCATAATAACACCACTGAACTCTAGCCTGGGTGAATGAGCAAGACTCTGTCTCAAATATATACATGAAATAAAATATACATATAAAGAAGCACACCGAATGTGTTTTATTTTCTAGTCTATATTCTCCTCAGTCTTTCAGAGGCTCCTCTTATCCCATATAGGACCAATTTATTAGTCATACAGAAAGGAATCCAATGTAAGACCTATGTTTCAGTATACTAGGATCCAAATGTTGCCAATTTATCAGCTCTAAAATTTATTCAAGAAAAATTTTACATCAATTGATTTTATATTTCACTGCTTCACAATCTATAAAGGGTTTAGGATTCAGTTCCAACATCCTTTTTTTTTTTTTTTTTTTTTGAGACAGAGTCTCACTCTGTCACCCAGGCTAGAGTACAGTGGCATGATCTCAGCTCACTGCAACCTCTGCATCTCAGGCCCAAGTGATTCTTGTGCCTCAGCCTCCAAAGCAGCCAGGATTACAGGCACAAGTCACCAGGCCCGGTAATTTTTTTTTATTTTTTATTTATTTATTTTTTTAAAATTATACTTAAGTTCTGGGATACTTGTGCAGAACATGCAGGTTTGTTACATAGTTATACATGTGTCATGGTGGTTTGCTGCACCCATCAACCCGTCATCTACATTAGGTATTTCTCCTAATGCTATCCCTCCTCTTGCCCCCTACCCCCCGACAGGCCCCAGTGTGTGATGTTCCCCTCCCTGTGTCCATGTGTTCTCATTGTTCAACTCCCAATTATGAGTGAGAACGTGTGGTGTTTGGTTTTCTGTTCCTGTGTTAGTTTGCTGAGAATGATGGTTTCCAGCTTCATCCATGTCCCTGCAAAGGACATGAACTCATCCTTTTTTATGGCTGCATAGTATTCCATGGTGTATATGTGCCACATTTTCTTTATCCAGTCTATCACTGATGGGCATTTGGGTTGGTTCCAAGTCTTTGCTATTGTGAATAGTGCTGCAATAAACATATGTGTGCATGTGTCTTTACAGTAGAATGATTTGTAATCCTTTGGGTATATACCCAGTAATGGGATTGCTGGGTCAAATGGTATTTCTGGTTCCAGATCCTTGAGGAATCACCACACTGTCTTCCACAATGGTTGAACTAACTTACACTCCCACCAACAGCAACCATGTGGATTGTCAGCATTCTGACAAGCACAGATAAACATATTATTACGCTCCAATTCTGGTCATTTTTACCTTTTAAATTTCCATTTCTGATATTTGTTAACCTTTTTTTTTTAAGTTTAGAAGCTAAATTCCATAACTACCACCACCGTTACTACTATCATTGTCTGGACCATCACCAACATGCTTAGACTATATTAATAAACACACAAGATGCAAAAGCACCCTTTACTGTAGTCTTCAGTAACTTTAATCACACTATCAACCTTTATCAGGGCAGCAAGTAAAAAGCAAACACTAGAGGTTATGTCTGAGAATTATTCCTAAGCACCAAAGTCATCACTACTAATTCCGACTACTAATTCCAGCAAGCACCACTTTATTTCTCACCTACAACACAAACTGGGTAGAAGTATGGTTAACCATTTGTCTATACCTTCAGAGAATGCTGCTTTTCCCAAAGTATATTATGGAATATTTGTCTTTGGAAATGCCTTCCCTCCACACACACACAAAGAAAAGACAAAAATGACTATCCCACAGTCCCTTCTTGAAGATTCACAAAGAATATTAGCATATTAAAGCTTCTTGCCATAAATAAACAATCTGCTTAGCTCAGCATGTTCTCAATTTATCTGACCATGTAACACTTTTCCATTCTTACTTCTTTAGAGACAATCTATGAAAATCTTCCAGAACTACTATTTCCAGAAAGACACTCTGGGAAATACAGCTTTTGACTGATAAGGAAAAGAAATTGAGATGCATGTTACACCCTCCCAAAGTCTGAAAACCCTAATTATTCAGCTCCAGAGAGAGGCAAGTGCAGCACAATCAAATGAGTGTTGAGAAGGAAAGAGTTTCTTGGAATCGCAAGGCCACCTGATCGATGGTAAACGTCCCACTTACTTGAGGAGATTCCCCAGATTGAAAAGAGCCCGGTTATGCTGTGGATGGAGCTGGAGAGCCCTCTGATAGTACATCTTTGCCTCTGCTGTGTCTCTCGTCAGTGTTCCAAGGTTGTTGAGCGCACTTGCATGGCGTGGATACAACCTGAAAAGTTAAAAATATTAAGCTGTGATGGTTCAAAAACTTCTAAGTTGGGCACAACTTGCTTGTTCTTCTTCCCCCAAGTATGAACAGCCAAAATGAAACACTGAATTATTCTTGTACTTGAATGGTTTGTGTCCAATCTTACTGGTCAACGACTTTTGCAGCTGAAAGTATATAATTAGGGCAGGGATGCACATATTTATAATTAAATAATTCTTAAATAGTACAAGAATAAATAGTATGTGGATCTACCAGGGTTAAAGACATTTAATAAGATTACTTTCCACTTCTTGTGATAGAAAATCCTCCTTGCCTCAGGTGCTAAGTTTCTAGCCTGAGTTTGTGGCCTGGTGAGGCCTCTGACCAGCTGCCTGTGCAGGGTCCACTATTTACACCAGATGCTGAGCGATCCTTTGAGGAGGAATCTTCATAAACATCTTTAAAACAAAAACAAAAACAAAAACAAAAAAACGGAGTTTTGCTCTTGTTGCCCAGGCTGGAGTGCAGTGGCACGATCTTGGCTCACTGCAACCCCCGCCTCCCAGGTTCAAGCGATTTTCCTGCTCAGCCTCCCAAGTAGCTGGAATTACAGGCGTCCGCCACCACGCCCAGTTAATTTTTATATTTTTAGGAGAGACTGGGTTTCGCCATGTTGGCCAGGCCGGTCTCGAACCCCTGACCTCAGGTGATCCACCTGGCTCAGCCTCCCAAAGTGCTGGGATTACAGGCATGAACCACCACACCTGGCCCATAAACATCTTTGGATTAGAGCATTGGTAAGACTGCAATGACTGAGAAAGGATGATATATAATGTCACCCCATAAAAATAAACTTAATCTGCAAAATGCCTCCTCTTCTCTTTTTTTCCATTTTATCTCATTTCCCCCCTCCTACTGCAGTTTGGTTCCACCTGTCCTAGTACAGTCTCAGACAGAAAATACTAAGAACTTAGAACACTTAAAGACAAAAAAACCCAAAGGTACGATGAAGTCAAAAATAGCATTCCTAATGTTCAAAAGCAAATGTAAAAGAGGATGAGGTGGACATCAGTATATCAAATTTATACTGATTAAGGTAAGAAAGGAACCAATTTATTTCCTAAACTCAAAACTATACAGAAGCCAAATCTACACAGCTCCATAATTTAATTGTTTTTGATATATTCAGAGTGGACATAGTTAGCAGTCTGGTAGGTTTGTTCCATCTCTGTCACCCAGAGTACTTTGAATAAGCCGGTAGAGCTGGCTTTTAATGTAGAAATGCCAAGATAACGCCCAAGTAATAAAAACGGGATCTGTACTTGTCAAGCCCCTTGACCATAAAATGCCATGCTTGCCCCCTGTTCTGTACCTTCTAAGAAGATCAGTTTAATTCTGGGACAGAAGAGGTTCCTATTAAAAGGACAGGGAAGACAATTTGCACTGCTTTTTAATCTTTGCTCTACCCAGAGTCTCTTAAGTTTATTTGACCCTTCGCTACTCCCTTACAGAACAGCTATAAACATCCCTCAGAACTAATATTTCCAGGAAGGCACTCTGTAATGTTCCTCTTGACTGACAAGGGCTAGAATCAATTCAAAGGAATATTACATCCTCCCAAAGCCTGAAAGCCCTAATTATTCACAGAAGCTTTGGAGGCTGTTAGGAGAGAGATCTTTAGAGGAAGTCTGGCAGAAAGCACACTGAGCCAGCACACGCGCTGTTGTTTGCTTCTCTCTGATCGCTTTTAATTAGCATAGACAACTTAAGGGTCTCTGATACTGGCCCCATTACATCCAACTTCAGTTCCTGGGAGACAAGTGCTTGGTGCTCTCTCTGAGATGCCTTTAGAAGATATGAGGCTATGATGAGGGCAAAATATGTTTCTGTACCTGTCCCTTCACTCCATGCCCAGGAAAGTGTCCCGCAAAGCTTGTGTCTAAGAATTACTTTGGAAGTGGTTGCAGAGCACATCACAGCCAGGACTCGAATTCTTCTAAAGAAGCTTTGGCTTTTGTTTGCTTTGTATGTTCAGCAAAGCACTGTAACCATCAGAAGATTTAAGGGTTGTCCCATGCACATGATGAAGCCAATTTCCATATTCCTTATTTCCTTTACAACAAGCAGTAACAGAAAGCTTATCTGGGACATGTGTCTTCCTTTTTCGTAGAGGAAATAATTTCTTAAGACGTTCTCTTTTTCTTATTTATTTAAGGCTCTGAGCCCTTGAAATGAACTTCTGAGGTGAAAACACTAAAGGAAAGGACAGGCTAAATTCAATAAGACCTTCCACCATGGGCTCACCCATGTAAGGTGCCTGTTTGCTCTGTAAGCAGCCGGTCATCTCCGGCAAGTTTTAAGCCCAACTTCCTGAATTTTATATTCACTCATGACCCCACTGCCATGTAAATGAACAGCCATGTATTTCAAAGGTCACTGACTACAGAAATGGCTTTCTCTTTCTCTTTTGTTTCCTTCAAATCAGAAACAGAATTCAAGTCCACCCTGAACTCTTAAAAACAAAAGCGAATAGTAAGAAGAGAAGTAAAGAGAAACAGAAGCGCTATAAGAGAAAAGGCCTTTACTATGCCTTGTGCTCTAAGAACCAACTTGGAGCTGCAGAAACGTGATGCTCAGGAGGAGGGACCAATTATAGTCCGGGAAGAGGCTCTATGTTGGCAAAGATCCCCAACTCCTCAAGGAAGGAGATTGCTGATATTTACAGGGACTCGCTGATTCTATAACCAAGCAAAGCCCTCCACCTGGAAAATGTGTAGCTATTGCTTATTCCCGGCAATACTAAGGACCTGCTAGCAATATCCTTTCTCTCTCTGGGTATCTGAGGAGGCTCACCTAATCACAAGCAAGCTTTGCATTATTTATGAAACCAAGCTGAATTTCATGAAAAGGATTCTTAACAACCAGGTCAGGAAAAATATCTAAAAAAAAGAAAAATACAGATGTAAATATTTTCTTAAAACACACACTGTACAGCAGACCTGTGCAAGGACAAAATTTATTTTGTGTGTTTACTTTTTAAATAAATTTGCGTTTGAATTAGCTTGGGCCTAATTCAATCCTGATCTCTCCAGGAAGGGAATTTTCTATTGGAAAGATGAATAATGTAAGAGATGTCTCTGTTGCTACATCAATTGTCGGAATAAATTAAGTCCATCTTGACTTTGCCTTCTACAGGTATGTTTTACAAATGTCCTGATAGTGGTTATTCCCTTCCCCGTCCAGAAAACCTCAACAAAAGATCTGCTGAACTGGAGCAGTGGTGATTTTTCAGGCCTGTTTGTAAGAGCACTCACTGGATTTTCTTTCTCACAGTATTCTTCAACATTTGAATTGTTTATGAAGATTCTTTTGCTATTTATTATTATTTTGATGAATTTCATTTTTAAAATTTATTATAGAGAAAATGAGTTATATTGTCCAATCATTCTGGGGTACAAATAAGCTTATTATTTCCTCATTAAAAAAGAAATGTATGGGGCCGGGTGAGGTGGCTCATGCCTGTAATCCCAGCACTTTGGGAGGTCAAGGCTGGCAGATCGCTTGAACTCGGCAGTTTGAGACCAGCCTGGACAACATGGCGAAACCCTGTCTCTACAAAAAAATAAAAATAAAGATTAAAAAAAATAACAAAACATACATATAGAGATGTGGTTCTATGAGCTGAAGAAAAATTTGTGTTCAAGTATTGGGTACTTTAGTTACTGGATAAACAATATCCATTTAAGCATTTTAGGGGTTCTTAATTTTTAGCTAGTGACATTTCCTTAAGTAGAATTAATAGAGTAGGCAGTCAAGGGCATCATTCCTCTCATCTTATCTCTGAAGAACGAATGTCAGCATGTTAATAGGAAAAAGTCCCTGGGAAGGAACACTTGTCTAAGCAAAAAATAGAAGGCGGGAACAAAAGAAAATGAGTTCCAGAGGACCTAGGATGTGTAAATGGTACTTTACATTTTTAAAGTGCTGTCTCAGACATTGTCTCATTTACCCTTCAAAACTGCTTAAGTAGAACTATTGTACTATTTATTTTACAGTTGAGGAAAGGGAAACTGGGAGAAATTAAGTAAATAATAGATTATAAAAAAAGACATCTCAAGTCACTTGAGCCTAGGAGTTTGAGGCTGCAGGGCGCTATGATGGTATCATTGCACTCCAGCCCAGGAGACAGTGAAACCCCATCTTTTAAAGAAAAAAAAAAAAAGACATCTCAGAAGCACTTGTGTTCTTAAATGTTAAGAAGGCAGCCGGCTCCTGTAAATCTGTTTTTAAACTTCATTCGTCATTCAACGTTCAGCAAATAAATTAGAGCTTCCATTTGGAATAATTCTTTTCATCTTGTTGTTTCTTTGGCTAAATCATTCAACTATGCTCTTATAGGAACTAGTTCTCAGTGGCAGAAGTGAAATAAACTCAATACCCAGAAAGTTTGGCTACTCAGAATCTTCACTGCAAAAATTTGTCTTCTGTCATACAAAATAATCATGGTGTCTCTGAAAAGCACAGTACTATGGAAAGCTATTTGGGATTAACAACACCCAGTAAGTGTGTAAGATTTACATACGTGCTTTCTGATTTACCCTTCTTCAGCTTTAACCTCAACTAAAGATCCATAGACATAAGCTGTATGTGAATAAAATCAAGTTTTGAATTTTATGTCAGTTATTTACTTTAAATTTTGTACAATCTGTTCCAGAGTTAAGAATGCTGTTTACTTTTCATTATCTGAGTGCCGTATATGGCATTTCATTGTTCAAATAATATTGAATGATGTGCTCTAGTTTGCAATTTCCTTTCGGAGAATACACACCCTGATTTATTTTCAGGGTGTGTATATTTGTCCGATTTTCATACCACACATTAATTTATTTGAGGTTAACCATGCTAAGGTCAGATGTTTATTTTCTATTTCCTGTTGAGAAAATAAGAGTCCAAAAGAAAAACATGACTGAGAAAAACATTCCACCATAAAACCAGAATTCCACTGGACTGAAAAATATACAAAATAAACTTCATTTCAGGAGGTGACAGCATTATTTCCAACCATATTAGTCTGTGGCATATTTTAAGTGCATGATTCCTTCATGTTATGAAATTTAAGTCCTCATGTGACTAAATTGCACTTGAGTAAAACTGATCATTTTATTAGTCTGCTTGTTTAATTGTTTGAAATTGCCATTAACACCTAGCAAATAAGTTTTACCACTTTCATCTTGCACCGTACTCCTTCTGATCCATTACAGATAGCCTCGGGAAAAAGCCTCAACTGCAATTCAGGGAAATGTGACGCACTCTTCAAGAGGGGCCAGCTAAATTATCTGACCTTGCACAATGGATGACCTCCAACAGTGATGCAGAAGGGCTCCTCCCAGTCAATTTTCCAAGACTATGCAGAGTAAAGCCATGGCTCTTGAGTGCCCTTAGGAAATGAATCATTTTAAATGGCTGAACCTGATTCCTGAGAATTTACTGCTAGGGGTTGGGAAGTTTACTGAATTAAGTATTTCTCTATTCCTTTAAATAGAAATGGTGAACATATTAACCTTTCTCAGAGGCTTGGGGTGAACTTTGGTTTTTGTGGCAGAATAGATAGGAAACTGCTTTGGTGGAGTGGAAAAATAACTGGATTTGGAGTCAGAAGCCATGAGAGGCATTCCAGCTATGTGAGTTTGAATTCATGTCTGTGCTTTAGTTGCTTTCTTTAAAAACGTAAGCTTAATAACATATTGACCTTCTCTGTGAATAAATGGGCTTCTACATGAACAAATGAGATGGTGGGTATAAAAATATCCATCACCACACCTGTTACACTACATACATTTAATATTTTGGGGTCAGCTGCAGGACCTCTGGGTGATTTGACTGGCTCCCTCTAGCCCTGATGAACCCATGCCAGGCTGAAGCAGCCAGTTCTCCTTCCTCACATGGATTTTTCATCCTCTGAAAAATCACACTCTTCACTGTTGCTGATAGCTTTCAACTTGCTCCCATCAGTCAAAATTACACCCATTATTTCTTCATCACTAACCTAGTGAACACTCAAGTCATTCTGTGTCCATCTGTTTCTCCTATACTGAGAGTTCTCAGATGTGAAGGGCAAGTAACCCTCTCCATTTTAAGAATGTAGGAATGTTCTTTGTCCAGCACTCCCTCCAAAGCCTGTCAATCCTTCATCATCTGAAGCAAATGATCCCCAGAGGCACCAGAGCAATTTTCTCCAAGTTTTTCCAATATGCTCAAGACCAAATGGAATTCCAGACACGTGTAATTGAAAAAGCTATATCCAAGGTTATAAGGACATTCAAAATCCTGTGTGGTTTCTGTGTGACAGATCAGTGTGCACCTGGGATCCTTGTTGCACTAACACTTCCTAGCATGAGTGCACTCTGGTTGATGGATTATCTCAGAGAAGAGACAATGGTGGGCAGGAAAAGGATGTTCATATTCCTAATTAATAACTGCCAAGTAAGGAGATCATGAGGAGTGGGGAGGAGAGTGGGTATGTTTTGAATACCCACTGCAGGAACTGGGTATTACTCCTGATATATAATGGGCAGGAGCTAGGGGTGTGAAACATCTTGCAATGCACAGGACAGTTCTGCACAAAGAAAAGTTGTTCTGCAAAATATCAAGAGCTCTGCCATTGAGAAACACTGTTTGTCCTTATGGAGTTGTCCTCTGACTCTAAGAGCCCTGTGATCGAGATTTTATGCATTATGTTCGTCCAGACTTTGTTTTCACAAGCATGTATAAAGCACGTACAATGTGCCAGACCGTTTGCTAAGGGCACACAGCATTAAAGAGAAAGCTGTCCTTGCCCTCAAGAGCGCCCTGTGGTAGAAGAGAAACAGGAAAACCAACGGACTCTAATGCACTGTGAGGAGAGCAGACAGAGCAGTAAAGCTGAGCTGGAGCTGACAGGAGCATACAGGACGAGGGCAAATGAGAGGCGCCTGAGACATTCACCAAGGTTTTTCCAGGAGAGACGATGCTTTACTGGGAGGGGCAGCAACAAAGGGGACTGGGAGTGCGAGGGAGGGGTAAGAGCAGGAAGATGAAGGAAAGGGTTCCAAGGAGAGAAAGCAAAACCAAACAGAACTTGAGAAACTGAAAGGATTTTATTCTGGCTGAAGCAGAGAATGGAAAGGAGGAAAATAAAGGACAAGGAGCAAGTTTTGGGGAGAAGATGACCAGTCAAGTTTGAGGTGCAGAGGGCAATTTGTGAAAATGTCCAGCTGGGTAGATGGCTCTGATCATCAGGGGAAAGATAATGGTAGAGTCATAGATTTGAGGGTCAACCAGCATATACACAGATGCTAACAAGCCTTTGGGACTGAAGGAACCCCTTAAAAAGCAAAGATTGAGAAGAGAACAAGATGTAGGGAAGGAGGAGAGGGTCCTGAGAACTCTTCCATTAAGGGTTGGTGGAGGCAGGACAATCTAAAGAAGGAGCAGAAAAAGCAAGAGAGCATGGTGTCACAGATGCTAAAAAAGAATTACTTTAAGGAGGAGGAAGTGGTCAACAAAGTCAAATGCTGCTGAGAGTTAGGTAATTTGATGCCCAAGCATGGTCCATTGGAATTATCTGCATGGAGGTAGCTGGTGACTTGGGGAGAGCAGTTTCACATGTGGGGAGGGAGCTGATGCCAGAATGTAGTTGAGTAATGAGAGAAAATAAGGAAGACATTGCAACTTTCTGGGAAATTTTGACACTTAAAAGGTAGGAAGGAGATAAGGAAGCACACAGATGAATGGCAGGAGGAGGAAAACAAGAGATACAGACAGGCTCGGTTGTTTGTTTGTTTGTTTGATGGTAGGAGCAACTAGAGAATATTTAAATATTAATGGGAAAGTGCCAGGTGAAGGGGAGGAAGCAAAGGATTTAAACAGAGGATTATAAATAAGCTCTGAGAAACTGGAAATTATGGAACCTTGAGCAGAAAAGAAGAGATCAGCCTTAGGCGTGAAAAATGAGCAGGGTAGTAAAAGAGGAAAATCTGAATTAATCAGGGTTCTCCAGAGAAACAGAAGCAACAGGATGTGTATATTTACATTTAGGGAGACATTTATCCTAAGGAACTGGCTCTCATGATTGTGGGGGCTGGCAAGTCCAAAATCTGCAGGGTAGGCGGCAGGCTGGGGACCCAGGGAGGAGCTGCAGTTAGAATCCAGAAGGCAGTCTGTGGGTAGGATTTTCTCTCCTTCCAGGGAAGTCTGTCTTTTTCTGTTAAGTCCTTCAACGGGATGGATGAGGCCTACCCACATTCTGGAGGATAATCTGCTTTACTCAAAGTCTACTGATTTAAATGTTAATCTCATCCAAGAGGCACCTTTGTAGGAACATCTAGAATAATGTTTTACCAAATATCTAGGTATCATGGCCCATCCAAGCTGACATGAAATTATCCATCGCAAGTCTACCCCTTGCCAATCTAGCACTCAGGAAGAGGAAAAGATAGACGTAATTTAGGATCTTCTGCTATTGACGACATTTAGGTTTTACATTATACCTCAGTTACCTTTTAAAACATTCCAGGTAATTCACATACTTTAAAAACACAGTATAAGGCCAGGTGGAGTGGCTCACGCCTGTAACCCCAGCACTTTGGGAGGTCAAGATGGGTGGATCACATGAGGTCAGGAGTTCAAGACCAGCCTGGCCAACATGGTGAAACCCCGCCTCTACTAAAAATTCCAAAATTAGCCAGGTGTGGTGGCAGGTGCCTGTAATCCCAGTTACTTGGGAGGCTGAGGCAAGAGAATCTCTTGTACCCAGAAGGCAGAGGCCACAGTGAGTGGAGATCGCACCACCGCACTCCAGCTTGGGCAACAGGAGTGAGACTCCGTCTCAAAAAACAAACACAAAAAACCACAGTATAAAGAAGTTTACATGTAGCATTGTTCCATTCAACAAATATTTACTCAGTGCCATGTTCCTGGCACTCTCCTTCATGCTGGGGATAAGGACAAAGATTTCTGCTTTCATGCAGTTTACTGGGTAGAGGAGGGACACACAATTAACAAAACGATAGGTGAGTAGAGCGGAGGGTGATAAATGGAGAAAAATGAAGCAAAGAGGGGGAACAGGGGATGCTGGTGGTGCTTGTGGTCTTCAGTGGGGTGGCCCAGGGAGGCCTCATGGAGAAGCCGATGACACATATGAGGAGTGCTGAAGGGTGTGAGGGAGGCAGCCATTGAGGTAAGGGGGGAAGGGTTCTAGGAGGAAAGAACAGAACGCAGAACCCCTGAAACAGGAAGGTGATGTGGCTGGCATGCACGTGCCTGCAGCCCAGTGTGTCTGGAGCCAAGTAAGCAAGAAGAATAGCAGGAGGTGTGTCAGGGGGAGTAAGGGGGCAGGTGGTGCAGGGCGAGCATGGAGGCTGCTGCAGGGCCGCCCACTTTCCCCGTAAGTGAGGTGGGGTGGCTGGAGCCTTCTGAGCTCCAGATTGCTGTGAGTGGGGCTCCAGCGGGGCTGGTCTTGAACTCCTGACCTCATGTAATCCACCCATCTCGACCTCCACAAGTGCTGGGCCACCCCACTGAAGATCCCTGGGGCTGCTGTATTGAGAACAGACTGAAGGAAAGCAGGGCAAAGGTGAAAACCACAACACCAGTTAGGAGCATATTGCTGCGGTCTAGCTGAGAGGTGGAGGGGACAGTGGACGTGGAGGGAGGTGGTCAGATTCTGTGTGTGTTAGTCATATTTACTGAGCGTGTCATTGCCCTCATTGCTTACGGATATTGCTTTAAGTCTTTTATATGAATTATCTTGTAATCCTCCAACCCTATGAGGTAGGCAGCATCCCTATTCTCATTTTTAACAGAAAATCTCAACCCTATTTTGCTAAACCTGCCATATTTACTTATACAAGAAATCACAGCTGGTGTAAAGTTCCCCTTCAAGGCTGAAGTGCATATTCTCCCGGCTGCTAGGAGTGTTGGCTGCTGGCAGCTCAGAGTCCACCTCCTCTCTGGGAATTGCTCTCAGCCTCAGGGAGTTGCCTCCCCAAGGCTAGACTCCCGTCCTGGATGCAGCGATTGGTTGAAAGCGGGGTTTAAAAGTAAATCTCTTGCCTCCATTCATGACACCTCTAAGGGGACATCCCAGTTCCAGAGCTCCCCATGGGATCAGCTGAGGCCTCAGCTGGAACTGCATTCTACTCAACATCTCCTTTCTTCTGCTGCCCTGGTGTTCCCGAGGGTGCTCCTTAATAAACTTCCTGCTTGCAAATCTTTGCCTTGGATTCTGTTTTCTGGGGAACCATGCATAAGAGAGTTTTTAAAATGAAAAAGTGGTCTAAGATAGCCAGAAAAAGTGAAACTTTTCTGAAAATACATTATGGAGATTTCATTTTGAAATTCAGCTCATAAGTATGGCCACAATGTGACTTAAATTCGTTTTTTTTTTCTAAATGAAATAATGTTTAATTTCCTGAGCTCATGAATAAAACTGCCAGATTTAATTAACACAGCATATATATACTGAGAATGTAATTTCATCAACAAGAAGCAACAAAAATAATTTCGTGTCTACTTGTGATATTAGAAAGCATATTTGAGCTTTTATACATGAAAATACCACATCAGCTGAAGAACACATCTCCACCTGTTAAACCTGGCTAACAAATGGTATTGAGATTTTAATTCCTCCCAGAAATACATGGCAGCTGGTATCCAAGTCCACCTGTAGTCATGAGAGAGTTATCTTAAATGTTCACTTAAAATAGGCTGTGTGAAGGACTTTTTAAAATACTCATTGACTCCTGGTTTTTAAAACATGTTCAAACTTCACCCCAAGCTGTGCCTTAGGGTCTGCCTTATTTCTTCTGTTTGAACGTGACAGAAAATGGTTTTATAAACAGCATTATTAAAAGGAATTATAATAAAGTAGTCTTACTGATATATTCAAGACATCAGCAAACATTGGTTAATTAAACATGGTTAGATTTCTTTAGACTCTAATGATATGGTGTCTCTTCAGTACTCAATCCTTTATTACTTTCTTTTTCCACATACATGTACTGCAGCCTAATGCAATGTCCTTACAAAGTTCCTGTGATCCATATGGGAGGGAATACAAAGAATTATATCAGTAGGCACTATTATCATAACAAGTCTCTATGTTATGCATTAAACATTCTAATCAGAAAGATTTTAGTTCTACCCCTTCCCATGTGTTAGGCAATTAAATAGTGAGTGGAGATTTCTTTTGTATAGGAGCATTAAAAGCACAATACAAAATTTAGTTACACCGGGAGAAAAGAGCCTGGTCTTGCAAAGCGATAAAATTTAAGTGTGAAGAGGAATTATTTCTATGGAAAATAAGTAAATGCTCTGAAAATGCTCAAAAAGGAAAGAAGTTCAAAAAAATCACTGTTGAATTAGATGTGAGTGAAATAATTGTAAAAGACTGGAGGAGAAAAATCAGAAAAATCTCAGTCTACTCAAATTACATTGCAAATCTCTTTAAATTTTCATTCCAGTTTTAAATATCAAAACTGAGACTCATAGCAATGAATTATGGAGGTGCTTTTGCAGATTCTAATCAGAAGATTCTTACTTAAAGAGAAGGATTTGATTTGACATCAGAAGATTGGTGAATGGATGTACATTTGAAATTTCAGGGTAAAATAAAATACTCAAGCGTTTGCTTAATTTGTTTTATGATTCTCCATTTTTAACTGACTTTTTAAGGTATTTGACAAAGTACACACATGGCCAAGTACACATCAATATCTTGACTTTATTCAGGGAGAATCACTATTTCTCTTTCGGGGCTTATTAGCTGAGGCATTTCTTGGGAGTTTTTGTGTAGGAAGGGCTGACTTGTTGGGTGGTCTCTGGACTTTCTACTCCCATCACACAAGGTAGAATGTTAGAAACCTTCTCCAGGGTAACCGAACAGTCGGAGAGCTCTGGAGGTCTATGGCAGATCTGTCAGTGTTTTTCTGAATCTCCAGCATAGATAATCCCAAGCTTTATTATTACTGCAGGAGTAATAAATGTGAGAGCTGCCCCTCACAGCAAAGCAAAGCTAACACTTGATGTTTGTTGAGGATTTAAGAAAAGGGTTTTGACATTTTTCTTTGATGATTTGAATCTTAAACTGAATACGTGACCTTAGATGCAATATTTTCCAGGGGAGATTTCCCTTATACTACAGAAATATTATAAATGATGTAAAGAGGAAGGAGAAGTCAGTGACTTCTGCATTATTCAAAAAATAAAAAAATTTAAAAGAAGCAGAATATTCATGTCATACATAATTACTAACTTATTATAGTGCTATTTTTAGCATTGTAAGCCAGCCAAAAAGAGACTGGTATAGGTACAGCCCTTATGATTAATTTCACCATTGCCTTTGAGATCTATTCAGTCATTACAACAGTAATGGATAATTGCTGGAATTGATTTCAGATAATAGCGCCTTTAACATTGCATTTCCCTAATCACTCTCTTTCTTGCTGTGTGCAAATATGAAAAACATCAGATACTCTAAAGTTGAAGTAGAGGTGGAGCAGCTGGGAGGGAGAGGAATCCCTGTCTCAGCAACTTCCACAAAGAAATAGCAACATCAAAATAAAGGCAATCTTCCAGTTACCAAGGATAAATAATCATCAAAATGATGAATAGCTCTGGTATTTTCCTTTTCCCTCTAACACAAAGAGTGACAATCTATTTCTTAAAAAACAACAACAACAAAAATACCCACATCCGTTGAAAATTCACCACAGAGGTATCCACACAAAAATGATATTTTTAACCAGAAGTATTTTGAATCTAGTCTGAAAGCATAAACTCTTTCACTAATTACTATATGTAATATATTTATAGCTTTAATTGTTTTTCCCCATGTCTCAAGGGACATATTTCTTCCAGAAGCACAGTTGCTGAAGCAAACATTTATTTGTATTGTTTCACAGCAAAGAAACGGAAGTACCCAACCAGCTACTATAATTCTGTAAAATCAACTGCCAGAGAATTTTGTTTAATTTATACCTTTGCTCCAAGTTATGCCTGAGGGTCTGCCTTACTTTTCTTTTTGAACTTGACAGAAAATAGTCTGTTATAATAAAACCAATTAAAAAGATACTGATACATTTCCTACCAACCATGTAAGTTTCAGGCAAACTTACTGCCCTTTTTCTCCCTTCAAGAATGCCATCTAAAATTGATAAATAGTAATTAATTATTAAAGCCCAAGTATACTTTATATGTACCCTTGAAGGAATATGCCTTTTAAAAAATGACATTTCCTCATTGCAAAAGGAATAGATGTTCATTGTGGAACACCTGGAACACACAAAAAATTATAAAGGAAAAAATCAATCTATAATCTTACCCACCAGAGATAAGCATTATGAACATTTTGGAAACTGTCTTCCAATGAAAGAATAGAATTCTTGATTAAATCTTAAAAATGATCTTCTATTCTGTAATATAAAACTTCTTCAACAAAAAGCTTTGATACAATTATTCCTCTGGAACTTATAATTCTTGTAATATTTGGGAAAATATTTGATAGCAAACTTGATATCTACGGTTTAAAACTTCTGCCATATTAGGCCAGGTGTGGTGGCTCATGCCTGTAATCTCAGCACTTTGGGAGGCTGAGGTGGGTGGATCACTTGAGGTCAGGAGTTCAAGGCCAGCCTGGTCAACATGGTGAAACCTGGTCTCTGCTAAAAATACAAAAATTAGACGACCATGATGGTGCATGCCTGTAATCCCAGCTACTTGGGAGGCTGAGGCAGGAGAATCACTTGAACCTTAGAGGTAGAGGTTTCAGTGAACCAAGATCGTGCCACTGCACTCCAGCCTGGGTGACAGAGCGAGAGACTCCGTCTCAAAACAAAACAAAACAAAACAAAAAAAACAGAAACACCCCCCCCCCCCGCCAAAACACACACACAAAAACAAAACCAACTTCTGCCATATTTGCCATATTAAATATTAAGTAACAGGTCCTAAAGTCTAAAAGATTTTGATTGATAAGCAATATTCTTGTGTAAATGTAACAATGACACTATCAAAATAAGCCTTGAGACAATCCTAGTAGACACTTTAATGAAATGCATGATTTGGTTGGTAGACGTACTTTAAGCATATCCCAAAGTGAAACCGTTTCAGGAAATTCAACCAAATGTAGGCAACCAATCTGTGGAGGCATAAAAACCTCTTCAAAGGCTTCTGTGAGCATCATAGTATTTAATAAAAGAGAGGATTAACCTTGCTTTATTTTGCCTACAATTGGAGATTGCCAGGCTATATTTAGTTATTATGTCTCCATGTGTTGAAGGTTAAGTACATGTATTATCTGGGGTGTTTCACAGAAAACCATCTTGAAAGTCAGAGCTGCAATTCAAAAGAGTACCTGAAGCGGAAGTACCCAACCAGCAACTATAACTGGCTGGTTGGGTACTTCCGACTGGCTAGTTGGGTACTTCCGCTTCTGATACTAGCAGATTGCTGCTAGTAAGGCAGAACTTAAATTTTTAGTTTCTCTTGAAGCCATATCTAAGGATATGTATAGTATTCTCTCTTCCATTGGAAGACTATAAGGAGAATGTTAATACACACACACATACACACACACACACACACACACACAATTAACGTATCCCCAACATGGTAATCAATTGTCTTATCATTTTTTTTCTATTTAATACAACTTTCAGGGCATTTAATTTCTATACTCAAATGTCTTCATGGAAATAGTTTCAGGCATGGGATGTCTAGGGCTTTCTATATGCATACCATTAAAATTCATTGCAATAAATATCATGAGAACTTACCAATATATTTTTGACAACCAACTCTTGTTTGCACGTATATATTGAACTGTCAGTTCATCGTGTAATGTATAGCAATGAAAAGTTTCACAAGAAAACACGCAAGACTTACACGCAAGGTAGAGTTATTGCATTAATAGCAGACTTGAACACTGAGCCAAAAGACTCAGAGTCCAAGAGCTACCCCACCTCCAAGGATCAGTTTACTGTCAAGAGAAACAAACAAACTCCCTCTCCATATACTGGGAGGGCCAAGTGAAATAAACAACGGTCTTTAAAGCACCAAGGCCAACACCCTCCCTGTGTGGCGCTTACTTGAGAGCTGTTCTGTAGTGGTAGATCGCTTCCTTGTTCCGACCTTGGTCCTTCAGGAAATTGGCATAGTTGTAGTGAACCTTGGCATTGTGGGGCAGAGTTTGAACTCCAGACCTAAAATGAATAAATTTTTAAAAAGAATTATTTGACAAAGAATATTATTGTCAGATTCCTTTATGTTTTACTCAGTTTCATGAACCTGTATTTGAAATGTCCGTTGTATTCTAAAACAAGGCATTGTAGCCTACAAGGCTTCCAAAATTTACAAATTATATAATTTACTAAACGTTGCTTTCTATAGAAAACAATGGAGGCAGTATAGTGTTATGTATAGCTGAACAAGCATGCTAACTGTGTATGAACAAAATGCCCTTAGCATATAAACATAGGACCTTTGTTGTGCCAGAGACACAGCTGGAGTCTGGGTAAGGCTCTGTCGCTCTTCCTGAGGCTTTTTTTTGGGAGCATAGGAGGGTCCAATGGTATATCTGAGAGCACATTGTACAACATGAGACACACACAACCTTGCAATTAACAAGCCAATCTGGCTTTCCTAATTTATGGTGCAGGGAGCAGATGCACCCACACTGGGGCTGCTGCACAGATAGGCCCTGCCGAGGCTAATTACAAACGCTTTTCCTTCTAGGGAGAATTACAGCATTGGGCCAGCCGTTTCTTCCTTTTGCATCTGTCTCTGGAGCAGCCTTCTTTTTCATGGAGACTTGATGAAATACCCTAAGTGATCTCTGAGTGAACAATAAAGAACCAGAGGAAAAAAAAGATTTAATGGTTTTCATAAAATGAGAATAGCTCATAACCACAACCTGCTCTACAAAACATGAGATGTAACATGCAGTGTCCTCTATTCTCTGTCTTCTTTCTCTTTATTCTTTCTTGCCATTCTTGTTTCCTTCAATGTGGAAACCCATGCAACTGGTTAGTGTGAAAGACTCTCTCTCGCTCCCCTCGCATCTACAAGGTCATCGCTTCCTCCTTGGTATTGCACAGTACTCGGGGGTGCTGTGTTGAAAGGAAAACACATTCCAGATCTAGGAGTATACATGGGGACTCAGAAAGGCCCTTAGTTACTCAACAATGGAGGGTGATAAAGTCAGGCTTATTTGAGTTGATTATGACATGCCAGGCCCTCACATAATCTGTATGAATGAAAGTGGTGGAAAAAAGGCAAAAGTTAATGCAGGCCCAAGCAGAATCATTAAAAAGGATCAATTCCAGAAGTGAGATCGTTTGATGAAATCAGTTTGCAAGCATTTCTCTAAGCTGAAGTAAATGGTACAGTTGTTTATCATCTACATAGTGTCCCTTCAGTACCACACACTGTGCCAGGTGCTGGGGATACAATATGGTTAGAGTCCCAGCCCTCAGGGAGTTTATGAGGGTGAAGAAGTAGGAGGAGGGGATTACAAGATGACATGTAACAATAGGTGAGCAGGGTATCAAGGAAGCACAGCATGCTTATCCCAGAATGGGATCAAGAGGAGGCTTCCAGAAGGCAGTGAAGGTGAAGCTTAGACTTTAAGGATAAGAAGAAATGAAATTAGCCTCTGGAGGAAGAGGCAGCAGGAGGTCCTATGCAGAGGACCCCAAGAAAACAGAGCATGGGGCTTTTGAGGGACTGGAAGAAATTCAGAGTCGCTGGATCATGCTAAGTCTTAGCGTGGAGAGAGTCTAACGGGCCCTGTGAGTCACACTGGAGACTTCTCAGGGGGTTATCTGAAGAGCAGCAGAGAATCAGTGCAAAGTCTCCAACAGAAAAGTGAGGGACAGGGTAGCAAAAGAGAAGGACTGAGCAGTCTTCTGGCTGCAGTGCATGGAGACCTCCTGGGGGACTACTGAGGAACCTCAGAGAGGAGAGGAGAGGGAAAGGGAGGAAGTGGAAAGGGAGGGGATGGGAGTGGAGCAGAAAGAAGATGAGAGAAAGATAATAGTCAGAATTTCAGCAGGGGCCATAGGGAGGAACAGAAGGATTCGGGAGACATCCAGGAAGCAGAGGTGGCAGGTGGCAGGACAAGGTGATGGCTGATTCTTTGGAGAATAGCCCTGCATGTTCATGTCGATTCAGTTTTTTCCTTCCTCCATTCATTCATTCACTTATAGATTTCCTTCTTCTTCTTTTTTTAAAATTGAGATTGTCTACCAAAATAAATCATTACAAAAAGGATCACTATAGACTGGCCTCCCTACCAATAAGTTTTGTTGGAAATTAACCTTTCCCTATACTAAGCCTGGGCCAGTTTTTTTTGTTTTTCAAATGCAGGTATAATTATTCTACAGATAAGAAAATGAGGCTTTTCTCAGAGACATTAAAAACCTTGTTTAAATGGTCACTGTACTGGTCATCTCAGGCTGCCATAACAAAACACAAAACCCATAGACTGGGTGGCTTAAACAACAGACATTTATTGACATTTATTTCTCACAGTTCTGGAGGCTAGAAGTTCAAGATCAAAGTTATGGCTGATTCGGTTTCTGATGAGGGTTCTCTTCCTGCCTCGCAGATGGTCACATTCTAGCTATGACCCATATGGCATTCCTCGGAGTGTGCACACAGACAGAGAAAGCTCTGGTGCCTCTTCCTTGTTTTATACGGGCACCACCCCTACTGGATTAGGGCCTCACCCTTGTGACCACATTTAACCCTCATCACTTCCTCACAGGCCCTATATCCAGATACAGTGAAACTGGAGGTTACAGCTTCAATATATGAATTTGAAGGGATGCAAACATTCAGTCCTTATCAATCACCAAAGCCCAAGCTCTTAATCATGAGGGAGGGCCAGCAGCAAGAATAAGGCTGTCCAAATACCACTGAGTGGCTGTGCCTACAGGGTTTACTTTCTGCCTGATGCTTGTCTACCCTGGGGCCCATCTGCCTGGGGTGATACCAACAATTTGAAGATGATACGAGGAGGGGTGGGAGCAGGAAGGGATTGTTTTATCCTTTGTAGCTGCTTCAGAAACAATGTCCACAAGATCACACAGCTAGCAAGTGGTAGGGATGGGACTTGGACCCGAGGAGTTTGGTTCTAGAGTTTCTGTTCCCTCACCTGAAGGAAGGTGGCAGGGGGAATGATAAAATATAGACAGATGGATTTGAAGGCTATTTGGAAGAAAATTCCTGCAACTTATTTGGATTAAATGAGACAGGCAGACAACTGATGAGAGAGAGGAAGGACTTCAGGATGAGAACCTAGTTTCTGGGCAGTTGTATTTTAATGCACTAACTCTCTCAGATTACATATTTACATTTAGTTTTTAATTTCAAGGTCAGATTAAGAGGAGAATTCCATACAATGTGTTAAAGCCGTTGGGGAAGTATGTTAAGGCATACTTCCTCGTTTTATATGGGCGCCACCCCTACCTCAACTTTTGTTGAGCTTTTTAAAATAACAGCCCCCGAGAACTGAGCAAAGACTGCCCCACTAAAATCCACTGGCTGGGAGCTTGAGGACCTCTCCAGAGGAGGGATCTGATGGGCATCTGTGAAGCCAGAGAACAGCCAAAAGAAACAGACCATCTGAAAGCAGCAGACCCCACACTTACAGCTGCTTCAGAGATTTAAAACGCACCACAGTGAACATGGGAGTGCAGATATCTCTTTGAGATACTGATTTCATTTCCTTTGGGTAAATACCCGAGGACGGATTGCTGGATCACATGGTAATTCTATTTTTAATTTCTTGAGGACCCTCCATATTGTTTTGCATAATGGCTGGACCAACATACATTCCCACCAACAATGTACAAAGGTTCCCTTTTCTCCACATCCACTCCAACACTTGTTATCTCTTGTGTTTATGACAATAGCCGTCGTAACAGTTGTGGGGTAATACGTCATCATGGTTTTGATCTGCGTTTCCCTGATGATTAGTGATGCTGAGCACCTTTTCATACACCTGTTGACCATTTGCTTGTCTTCTTTTCAAAGATATCATTCAGGTCCTTTGCTCATTTTGAATCAGATTAGTTGTGGGGTCTGTTTTGCAATTTAGTTGTATGGGTTGCTTACATATTTTGGATATTAACCCCTTATTGGATATACAGTTTGCAAATATTTCATCCCAATCCACAGGCTGTCTTTTCACTTTTTTGCTTGTTTCCTTTGCTGTGTGGAAGTTTTTTAGTTTGATGCAGTCCCATTTGTGTATTTGTGATTTTGCTGCCTGCGCTCTTAGTGTTGTATCAAAAAATTCATAGCCAAGGCCAATGTCAAGGAGCTTTCCCCTTATTCACAATAGCCAAGATATGGAAACAACCTGAGTGTCTATGGACAGATGAATGGATAAATCATTTGTGGTATATACACACAATGAAACATTATTCAGCCTTAAAAAA
This sequence comes from Homo sapiens, assembly GCF_000001405.40. NCBI lineage: Eukaryota > Metazoa > Chordata > Mammalia > Primates > Hominidae > Homo > Homo sapiens. The sequence continues at coordinate 29,576,461 of NC_000012.12, forward strand.
GAGATACTGCCATTTGCAACAATATGAGTGAACCTGAGGGACACTATGCTAAGTAAAGCCAGACGCAGAAAGAAAAATACTGCATGATCTTACCTATATGTGAAATCTTAATAAATGAAATTGAACACAGAGAAAACGAGAATAGAATAATGGTTAGTAGGTGTGGCAAGGAGAGGAAATGAAGAGATATAGGTCCAAGGGTACAAATTTGCAGTTATGTAGATGACTAAGTCTAGAGATCCCATCTACAAAAAGAGGGCTATAGCTAAGAATATGGTATTGTATATTTTAAGTCTGCAAAGAGAGTAGATTTTAGGTGCCCTTACTATTAATACAAAAAAGAAAAAACAGGTAACTATGGAAGATAATGGATATGTTAAATTGCTTACCTGCAGTAATCATTTCACTGTGGATATGCATATCAAAACACGTTGTACACCTTAATTTTATACAATTAAAAAAAGGAAAAAGAAAGAACATGGAATAAAGAGGGTTGCTTCCTTTTTCTTTTTCTCTATTTTATTTTCTGTCTGAAAGAAGGATAAATAATATCATAAATGGTGTTGATGAAATTCTGGCTGCATGGAGAATACCTAAGGAGAACCAGCAATGCCCAATGTTGGCACCAGCTGAGGTTGATAAGATAGCCTGAAGGTTGTATGTTTTTAAATGTACAGATGCTAATTTTTTTTCTTTTTTAGCATATCTAGTGAAGGGCAATGTATTAACCTGTTAGGGGAGCCAGGTTTTGCTAAAAACAGAGATCAGCATCTATCTTGTGCTTTACCATTTACAAAGAGCTCTTCTGTGTTCACTCACTTAAACTTTGATGACGGGGTTCCACATCTCTGAACTGGCTTCCTTGGGGGCTGAGATGAGATGAGATCTACATTTGCCCTGTTCTCTGAACAAAACTTGCTGCAGACAAAGGAAAATACTCATGCTTCTCATGTACTAGAATGGGGTCCCTTCCTCTGCTTTTAAGAGGCATCCAGTAGCCAAGAAGGAAACATCCTCCTTATGGCCTAATGAGAACTTGTCACTCCTATGGTACACGGAATCAGAATCCTCGCACAACACAGAATAGGAGGACCCAAAGGATCCCTGGTGACCATTTCATTCCCTTTGTCTTCCTCTCATTTTACACAAGAGAGAGCCAAGCCTTAGAGAGGATCAGTGGTCCAGTCATAAGTGACAGTATTGCATTTCTACAACAGCCAAAGGCATTTCCTGTATAGATTGTGGATAGTTCTTTTCGGGGGTGGGTGCTGAAATACTAACACTATCTTTCATTTATGATACCTTTATGGTTTATAAAATATCCTTATTTGAATGTTAAAAAGCAACTAAAATGTATGACAAGTTGCTAGGATTTTAATATAATTTTTCAAATGATAGTATCCAACATAAATTTAGTCATATTGGCAAAATCCAGGTAAGCGTATTAGTAATGGCTTTAATAATCAAATTTCTATTAAGGAAAATTTCTGACTTTTTCTATCTAGAACTAAATAGTGCATGGTAGCAGTAAGTTTTGAAGGCAACTGTGATTATAGAAATGAATACAACTGGCATATTTATTGAAATTGATCCTTTTCTCTGTGTGATTAGCACAGTAATTCTAATTTATGTCCCACCCAAGGAATAGACAATTGGGTCTGTGGAAACATGGTCTCTGCTGAGATCAGGGCATTGTTTCATAATGGTAAGAGGAAGTAATAATGTTCCTAACAGGCAAGCAGAAGTGGGTGGAGTCACTAAAATCCTAAGAACACACTGCTTTTTCCCATCGTTGGTTTTGACCTTTATGTTCTCTCTGTGATATTTTTCTGCTATGTTTTTCTAGGCTCTCATTTCACAATGAACAGTTTGTGAAAAAAAGGAAAATAACAAGCCAAAGGCAACACTTTCCCTGGAACTTAACTGGCCAGGTCACTCTTCCCTCCAGGAATAGTCTCCCTGTTTGCTTTTTTGATGCTCCAATTTCATACTTCCAGTTATTATCATGGAAACATCCAGCTTTACCCATATTTATTCCATAGAGAAATACAATATTCATAAATTACATGGCCGAACGCGAAACCCTGTTAATAATTACAACAGTGATTATAAATAAACATCTCCCTTTCAACTCAGGATTTTAAATCCACGCATTTCACGTATCTCCCTCACACCTTTTATTGTGGAAGACTTGATAAATAACAAAAAAGCTACTTTAATCAGGTGTATCTCCAAGGTTTTAGAACATCAATTTGTTTTGTTGGCATCATTGGACAATAGGTCAGGAGGACCATCCCCAAATTCCTAATTGCAGAACAAACATGAAAAAAATACTTGTAGTGTTCAGTCAGAGGTTAGCAAAAAGGAAAGGAAGAAGAATTTGTGATTCTCCTCAATTTTGACCCCTGCCTTGACCTGAGATTTTATAATGCCACACACAGGATGGATAGTACTTATGGAATGCTTACTTTAAATCAAGTGCTGGGCTAAGCACCAGTTTCCATGGATCACTTCCTTTAGTCCTTGCTGTAACTTATCAAATAGGTAGTATTACGCTGCCTCCCATATTAGAGATGAGGAAACTGAAGCTCAGAGAGATTAAGACCTTTTTGTAAGGTTACAGACCCAATAAATCGTTGAGCAGATGTTTCAGCCACGGCCAGTAAATGGTCAGAATCAATCCTGAAGTTGATCAACATTTGATGCTTAACCAAATCAGTACCATAAGACCAAAGTAACATTAGAATTTCACTATCACAATGTATATATGATTGGCAAGCAAAACTACAGCCTATGGGTCACTAATGTGTCCATGTGTTTACATTTTGTCTTTCGTCTTTTCCCCAAGACAACATCAGAGTTACATAGTTGCAAAAGAGACTGTATGACCCGCAGAGCTTAAAATATTTGCTATCTGACCTTTACAAAAGAATCTGTCAGTACCTGGTTTATATTCTTTTCCCTGGGAGGTATTCTAAATTCTCTGCCTCAGCAATTCAGAGAAGGGGAAAGAGAACTACTGTTTTTCCTACAGAGTAGGAAGATGATCCAGGCCATAAATGTTAATTGCTGGTCTGTGGATCACTTAAACAGTTCAGGAATGGGATTTAGAGAGATCCTGAGCTGGATGCGAAAGGAAATATGTTTGTCCCTTTCTAGGTATTTTGAAGATTAGGAGAGGGAAGAGGGTTTAATCTAATCAAATTATGCTATTATGGTATTTATTTACTCCAAACAAATGTAGGGTTCTGGGCTGTCACTAGGCCCAACCAGAGCTATGCGGTGATCCACCTACCAGTTCAGCACATAAAACAGCTTCTTACTGTAAGAATTAAAGAAAATATGCCTTGCAGCTATGATCATAAATCTCTCTCTCTGCTTATACTTGAGCTAGCTTAGGTTAAAACACAATGTAAAATATAGGAATGGCAAAGTTTATGCACCTTTTGATTTTTATACCAGATTTGGGTTCAAATCTTGGCTTCTGTAAAGGTTATTTCAGCTTAGACAATTTACCCTGTCCACACCTCTGATAATACACAAGTGCTGGGTTCTTGTGCTTTTTGTGTGTAAGGTTCTTGCTGATAGAAAAAGTTTTGGCCAGGCACATTGGCCCATGTCTGTAATCCCAGCACTTGGGGAGGCCAAGGAGTAGAGACCAGCCTGGGCAACACAGTAATAACTGTTCTCTACAAAACATAAAAAAATATTAACCGGGTGTGGTGGCACACACCTATAGTCCCATCTCCTCGGTAGGCTGAGGTGAGAAGATCGCTTGAGTCTGAGAGGTCAAGGCTGCAGTGAGCCATGATCACGCCACTACACCCCAGCCTGGGTGACAGAGTGAGACTTTGTCTCAAAAATAAATAAATGAATAAATAAAATAAAATAAAATTGTGTAGGAACCCTGCATCTGTATCTCCTAAAAATACATCACACAGTGGGATCTTTTGTGTAAAAGGAGGCCTCAGCTGGAAAGGCTGGAGCTTGACCAAAATTTGTACTTTCTCCAACACAAAGTTCTATCTTAAGATACTCTGTAAGATTGCTCATGGAATGGTCAGGCAAAATCATCCCACATAATTAGAGAGGCCTCAGTGAGGCTATATGTTTTAGGAATGGTCTATGGTTTATTGTTTGGAACAGAGGGGAAGATGGAGTCTCTGCCAAGGGCATCACCATCTCTAGAATTATTGTACATTTTTCTTACTCCACTCAGCTGGCTCCTGTTTTGGGCCATTACGGCTAATTTAGGTTTTTCTCCTCTTTTAATACTCAGCTCAGACCTACAAGAGCATGATCCTTGACAGCCTGAGTTGGTCTTAGTCACCTACCCACCTACCTGTACTTATATAGTGTTCTGGGTTTAACACTATATTATAATGAAATATGTTCATGTGTCTGCTTCCCATGCAGATTCCCAGCTCCTCTATGCACATTCTCTCTCTCTCATCCTAGAACACACTGCACAGTAATAGTCTGAAAACCTTACACAGCGTTTCTCAAATGCCAGAAACTGTCCTGTGCATCTCTCACATACTATTTTATTCTTACACTATACTCAGGAGATAAACACGAGTATTTTACATTGTAAAATGAAGAAATTAAAGCACAGAGTGGATAAGTAACTTGCCTAAGATCACACAGCTATTCAATGGCAGAACTTGGAGTAGAGCCAGAAAGTCTAACTCCATACCCTGCACCCAACCACTAACCTTAATGTGCCTCATAGATTCTCAGTAAATGTTTGTTTGACTGACCTGAACATTACTTAGCACAAATGAATTCATAAAAACATCTGTTCTGGCCTTGAAGGAAAAAGAACAGTCTTAATAGTCTTTTAAAGTCTCAGATTCTTAAAAGTTTTCTCAGGACATAGATAAATGATAATAGGCAAAGATTTCTAGAAAATATCAATAGCTTTGATTTACACATTACACAAAATTTGATTGGACCACCAAAGGCCTCTTTAGTTGCAAAATCTCTTTAAGCACGAATGTGGAATGGTTGTGTTTTAGAAATCAATTGATGTGAAGATACTACATACTTCCATCTAAAACAATAGAAGCTTCTGGATGCAAGGCCAATCAGCTATTTTTTTTTCTTTTTTTTTTACATCTTTGGCATCAGCTGTAAAGGGTTTGAGTACTAAGTCTGCCAAAATCCATTCCCAAAGTTGCTCTGATTAAGCAGTCAACATCATTAGAAAATACAACCACTGTTAGTACCTTTATTCAGGCAAAAGGTTTAGCACAGGGCAGAACTGTTTCTAAAGATGCTCGTAAAAGCTCTGACTAGTGAAAGAGAAAGGAAGAAAAAACTATGCCAACAGAGACTCGGAGGAAGTTATATTACTGAACTTAAATACTCCTGTGTTTACCGAATGACCTTAGTTAGCATGAGGCAGAAGGAAGGAATGAGTCTGTTGTGGTCTGTGAGAATCGTGTTTAATAGAAAGGGGTATGACAGGGACTTAACAGAATCTAAGAGTGATTTTGCAGATCTGTGTGGAAAAAAAAAGATGCATTAAAAACAATCCACACAAAAAACTCTACATTGAGCTCCCTACAGTACCCGCTGAAATGATCATAATGACGATCATGACAATGATATGTAATACGTAATAATACATAAATAAAGTAATAGGACATGCATGCCAGACTGACTTTTTGTTTTATATTTTAAAAAATGTCAAATTGCCAAGTAAAATCAAACACATTATTTTAAAATAGTAGAAGAGTGCAGTGAACCTTTGTCTTATTTGTTCTTTCACTCATTCATTCATATTTGGCAGCCCAGAGATTATTCCCCCTTCTTACAGTGCTTGGATTTCCTGCTGGGAACTTCCCTCTTGCCTCACTTTGAGAAGTCTGGGTGGAACCCCAAGGGGCTCTGCCTGCCCTAGCTCCCTCCATGGAACTCAGAGGAGGCTTCTTGGTCAGATCAGTCCTCTCAGTGCCTTGCTAGGGACAAGGGGCAGGCATGTGACTAATCTTAAGTTCAGCCAAAAAGCTTTCTTTTCCTAAGACTTTGATGTGTACATCCAAAAACCTGGTGTTAAGTTTACCTGTTTGTTTCTGAGAGGGTGCTCAAGACGGATTTTCCAGATGCCTGTTTCCTGTCTTGGGTGTGCCGGGTTCTTCACTTCCCTTAATTCTGTATGCCTTCCTAGCCTCTTCCAACAGTTTCCCCTTTCCTTAAGTGATATTAGCTCTGCTTCAATTGTTTGCCCCCAAAGAATAAGTGTTGGGTACCAGCTAATCAGGAAACCAAGAAAAAAATCATGGTGACTAAATTGACCAATCAGGTCATAAGTGAGGACAGAAGCTTGGAAGAGGCCCAGACTGGGGATTCCTGGAAGACTGGGCAAATATTGTTTGGGTGTCAGGTGTGGCAGTGCCAAGAGAGCCAGGCGAAGGTCGCCAGGGCTGCGGCATTTAGTGAGGCTGACTAAGCCCCAGAAACACAGCATCATGAATGGCAGTCTCAAAGAATGTTCAAAATTAATGTTCAAAATAAAGCAACTAGGTCACAGATCACAGCGTATCATGCTGGAATATTCTAAAGAAGGATACTGCATTTCTCTTCCCTCTGGCTGTGTGCTCACTTTTCACATGCACTTCTTGGTTTCATTTTGTTTATAGCTGATTTTACAGCCCTGCTCATCATTAAAACTGTTTCCATCTGAATTCACAGACTCAAAAACTTTCCCAGGAGCCTTATTTTCATAAATTCACTTAGAAAGAGCTCATGTTAAGTTTTATATATCATTTTAAAAATCTAAAGTTAAAACCCCACATAAAATTACATCTTCCATTTAAAACTTTATTAAAGATAATTTTCCTTAGTAAATACTGCCAGGCCCATGTTACCTCATTTGTTTGGAAACAATTTGTAAGCAAAGAAATAAACAGGAAGATATTTATTTTTATCTGTCTAGTCATACCTGAATAGGGACTCTCTTGACAGCCAAATTTCATTCTGTTTCACAGTTTTCCAAGAGAAAAGCAACAGCAGCAACACAGTGGACACAATCAGGGTGGTGGCCCCACATCGATTCAGCCAAGTGCAGAGCTTGCTCAGTCCATGCACAAAAAGGATGCAGTAGCCCATGCTGGAAAACAGGGTGGAAGGAACGGGATTACTTTGGGGGTGCAATAGCTTCCCCCCAGAATTATCTCCTACAAAACTAACTTTCAAATGAAGCTTGTCCTGTGCTAGAGAAACAAATAGAAACTCCCCTGCCTTGGACAATATTAACATGTTAGTTCTCTAAAGTGCTGCACTAGCAGGTTTGCTATTTCTTGTAGAAATATTTCTTGCTATTTCTTCAGTGTAGGGAATGAGAGAGTCATCTTGTAGGCTTAAAGTGCCCTGGATTTCAGCAGCTGAGGCATCATGAGAAGTCCCACATATAAGCTCTTGGGTCCTGAATGGCTCCTCTGACCCAAGCTCCCTCATGTCACTGTCATTGTATGACTCTATTGGCACTATGCGCCTAAATTCGGAGTTTATGCTGCAGCAGGTCACACCACAGCTTTGTAGGGAGAGTGTCTGAAAGCTCTGTGTCAGGTCCTGGAAGGATGCTGGTCACCAAGGAGGACTGTTCTCTGTTTCCAGGGCCAGCTGAAGCCCTTACACTTTGGAAAATCTACCCACAGGCCGACTCCTGAGCCTCACAACTTGGAGCTCATCACAGACAAGATGCATTGATATGCCTAGCTGTACCGGTAGGTGCAGGGTTAACATGTTATCTGAGTAGCACTTTGTATATCAGCATTACGTCTCTAAAAGCCTTTGGCTTGGTGCTACATGGTCCCTCACATCATCTATGCACCAACAGAGATACTTTCTGCCTGCCACTTGGACACAGAAGAATATAAACTTGTAGTTTGTACCCATTAATGCTGTATGTATTTTAGTTGAAATCTATTTTTATTTTATTTTATTTTTTCTTACTTCTTCTTTTATTCTTTTTTTTAAATTTTATTATTATTATACTTTAAGTTTTAGGGTACATGTGCACAATGTGCAGGTTTGTTACATATGTATACATGTGTCACGTTGGTGTGCTGCACCCATTAACTCGTCATTTAGCATTAGGTATATCTCCTAATGCTAGCCCGCCCCGCTTCCCCGACCCCACAACAGTCCCGGTGTGTGATGTTCCCCTTCCTGTGTCCATGTTGTCATTGTTCAGTTCCCAGCTATGAGTGAGAACATGCGGTGTTTGGTTTTTTGTCCTTCTGATAGTTTGCTGAGAATGATGGTTTCCAGCTTCATCCATGTCCCTACAAAGGACATGAACTCATCATTTTTTATGGCTGCATAGTATTCCATGGTGTATATGTGCCACATTTTCTTAATCCAGTCTATCATTGTTGGACATTTGGGTTGGTTCCAAGTCTTTGCTATTGTGAATAGTGCCACAATAAACATACGTGTGCATGTGTCTTTATAGCAGCATGATTTATAATCCTTTGGGTATATACCCAGTAATGGGATGGCTGGGTCAAATGGTATTTCTAATTCTAGATCCCTGAGGAATCGCCACGCTGACTTCCACAATGGTTGAACTAGTTTACAGTCCCACCAACAGTGTAAAAGTGTTCCTATTTCTCCACATCCTCTCCAGCACCTGTTGTTTCCTGACTTTTTAATGATCGCCATTCTAACTGGTGTGAGATGGTATCTCATTGTGGTTTTGATTTGCATTTCTCTGATGGCCAGTGATGATGAGCATTTTTTCATGTGTTTTTTGGCTGCATAAATGTCTTCTTTTGAGAAGTACCTGTTCATATCCTTTGCCCACTTTTTGATGGGGTTGTTTGTTTTTTTCTTGTAAATTTGTTTGAGTTCATTGCAGATTCTGGATATTAGCCCTTTGTCAGATGAGTAGGTTGCAAAAATTTTCTCCCATTCTGTAGGTTGCCTGTTTACTCTGATGGTAGTTTCTTTTGCTGTGCAGAAGCTCTTTAGTTTAATTAGAACCCATTTGTCAATTTTGGCTTTTGTTGCCATGGCTTTTGGTGTTTTAGACATGAAGTCCTTGCCCGTGCCTATGTCCTGAATGGTATTGCCTAGGTTTTCTTCTAGGGTTTTTATAGTTTTAGGTCTAACATGTAAGTCTTTAATCCATCTTGAATTAATTTTTTGTATAAGATGTAAGGAAGGGATCCAGTTTCAGCTTTCTACATATGGCTAGCCAGTTTTCCCAGCACCATTTATTAAATAGGGAATCCTTTCCCCATTGCTTTTTGTCAGGTTTGTCAAAGATCAGATAGTTGTAGATATGCAGCATTATTTCTGAAGGCTCCATTCTGTTCCATTGGTCTATATCTCTGTTTTGGTACCAGTACAATGCTGTTTTGGTTACTGTAGGCTTGTAGTATAGTTTGAAGTCAGGTAGCGTGATGCCTCCAGCTTTGTTCTTTTGGCTTAGGACTGACTTGGAAATGTGGGCTCTTTTTTGGTTCCATATGAACTTTAAAGGAGTTTTTTCCAATTCTGTGAAGAAAGTCATTGGTAGCTTGATGGGGATGGCATTGAATCTATAAATTACCTTGGGCAGTATGGCCATTTTCACGATATTGATTCTTCCTACCCATGAGCATGGAATGTTCTTCCATTTCTTTGTATCCTCTTTTATTTCATTGAGCAGTGGTTTGTAGTTCTCCTTGATGAGGTCCTTCACATCCCTTGTAAGTTGGATTCCTAGGTATTTTATTCTCTTTGAAGCAATTGTGAATGGGAGTTCACTCATGATTTGGCTCTCTGTCTGTTATTGGTGTATAAGAATGCTTGTGATTTTTGTACATTGATTTTGTATCCTGAGACTTTGCTGAAGTTGCTTATCAGCTTAAGGAGATTTTGGGCTGAGATGATGGGGTTTTCTAGATATACAATCATGTCATCTGCAAACAGGGACAATTTGACTTCCTCTTTTCCTAATTGAATATCTTTTATTTCCTTCTCCTGCCTGATTGCCCTGGCCAGAACTTCCAACACTATGTTGAATAGGAGTGGTGAGAGAGGACATCCCTGTCTTGTGCCAGTTTTCAAAGGGAATGCTTCCAGTTTTTGTCCATTCAGTATGATATTGGCGTGGGTTTGTCATAGATAGCTCTTATTATTTTGAGATACATCCCATCAATACCTAATTTATTGAGAGTTTTTAGCATGAAGGGTTGTTGAATTTTGTCAAAGGCCTTTTCTGCATCTATTGAGATAATCATGTGGTTTTTGTCTTTGGTTCTGTTTACATGCTGGATTACGTTTATTGATTTTCGAATGTTAAACCAGCCTTGCATCCCAGGAATGAAGCCCACTTGATCATGGTGGATAAGCTTTTTGATGTGCTGCTGGATTCGGTTTGCCAGTATTTTATTGAGGATTTTTGCATCAATGTTCATCAAGGATAGTGGTCTAAAATTCTCTTTTTTTGTTGTGTCTCTGCCAGGCTTTGGTATCAGGATGATGCTGGCCTCATAAAATGAGTTAGGGAGGATTCCCTCTTTTTCTATTGATTGGAATAGTTTCAGAAGGAATGGTACCAGCTCCTCCTTGTAACTCTGGTAGAATTCGGCTGTGAATCCATCTGGCCCTGGACTTTTTTTGGTTGGTAAGCTATTAATTATTGCCTCAATTTCAGAGCCTGTTATTGGTCTATTCAGAGATTCAACTGCTTCCTGGTTTAGTCTTGGGAGGGTGTAAGTGTCGAGGAATTTATCCATTTCTTCTAGATTTTCTAATTTACTTGCGTAGAGGTATTTATAGTATTCTCTGATGGTAGTTTGTATTTCTGTGAGATCGGTGGTGATATCCCCTTTATCATTTTTTATTGCATCTATTTTATTCCTCTCTCTTTTCTTCTTTATTTTTTTATTTTTTTTAGACAGGGACTCACTTTGTCTCCCAGGCTGGACTGTAGTGGTATGATCATGGCTCACTGCAGCCTCAACCTCCTGGGCTCAACTGATTCTCCCTCCTCAGCCTCCCCAGTAGTTGGGACTTAGGTGTTCACCACTACACCCAACTAATTTTTGTATTTTTCTGTAGAGATGGGGTTTCGCTATGTTGCCCAGGCTGGTCTTGAACTCTTGGGCTAAAGATCCACCTGCCTTGGCCTCCCGAAGTACTGGGATTACAGGTGTGATTCTTCCCAAAATTGATAACTACAAATTATTACAGAATATCTTAAGAAAGAAGCAAGTTTGTGTAAAGCCATCCTATATTGGAGACTATTACTATCAGAAGTATTAATACAGCCCCAAGTAAATACAGCCCATATACTTGTTCTCTTTTTTATTCATTCTTTCTCTTATGTGGCTGGCAATATCCTAGGCACTAAACATATATTTATAATACAACACAGGCTCCACAATCAGACAACTCCAGTCTAGTGAATCAGGTTGCTCTAGCTAATAGAAACAACTAAATATTCTCATTCCTAAACACACCTCCTTAAAAAACTTTTTTCTCCATCTTCTGTTCTCTGTATCAAGAGCAGAAAAACAAGAGAGAGGCATTTGAGGTTTCTGACTTGGGAGACCCTGGGAATGAAGTTGGAGCTCTCATTTCTTTCTTCAAGTCCTATAAGTTGGTTAGTCCAGCTCCATAAAGTTTAGGGTTCATGGTTTGGCCAAAGAGAGTCACCATCCTACTCCCCACTGAGGAGGATGATTTGAGCTAAGGAGACCCATGTTCTCCAAACCCCCACCACAAGCACTGGATTTGATTGCCACAGGTATCTTGCAAGAGCCTTGCACTTGTCAGAACAGAGTCTCTAATGTAAAAACAAAAACCCAAACCAAAAACCTCTTCTCACTTCCACAACTCCCTGGTTCAACCTTAAAGGTATGGAGCTTTTTCTATAAATCTTATTTATATTGTACAACTGACCTTGCTGGTGTCATTTGCTGTGCCTGACCACAGTGGCTGCTCAAGTTCATAAGCCTGCTTTGCCCCCTGTTCCTCTAGCCCCAGCTGCTCCCAACCCAAACTGAGCAGGGCATCCTATGAAGCCCTCTGGGCTCCGTTCTTTCATTCATCAGATATTTAACAAACATTTAACTATGTACCTAACACTATTACAGATATCAAGAACATATCAGTGAACCAAAGAGACAGTAATCCTTATCCTTGTGGAATTCACATGGGTAGGGAACAACAGCTAGCGAATGAGTAAAAAACACACAGGGCATGTACATGGTGATACATTACATGGATAAAAATTAAGAAGAGGAAGAGGTTGAGATTTTCATGTGGGTGGTCACAGAAGTCCTCACTGACATTTGAGAAAGACCTGAAATGCACAGGGAATGTGCCACGCCGATACATCCTTAAAACCCTATGGATCACCTTTATTAATGTTTAACCCATGAAAACACTAAAGAAAAAGGTTAACTGACTTGCTGAATTAAGTCTTGTGATAGTGTTAGGTCTTGGGACCCCAATTGACTATGCCAAAAGGAAAAAAAATTCTTGGGACCCCAATTGACTATGCCAAAAGGAAAAAAAATTAAGTTGAAAGCTGAATCATGCAAGAAACTACCTTTCCTTCTGTTCCTAAGCAGTTAGCTACAGATAAAAGCTTAACTATCTCCACAGATAGCTACTCTAGGTTCACCTTATCTTATGTAAAGCCCCGATTTACTGAGCGTGAGAAGAATACATATTTGACTATTCCCCTATCTGCTCCTTTTCTCTGGCAACATGTGGATTCAGTCATGTGACCATACATTCCCATTTTTCCCTCCAGCCTACTTTTCCCCTTTAAATACTAAAGACCTCAAAATCACCTTTGGAGAAAGGCACAGACTGCAGATTGTTTCTGTGATTCTGTGTTCCTTTCTTCCAGGCATGTCCTTAATCTTGGCAAAATAAATCTCTAAACTGATTCAGACATGGCTCAGATACTTTTTGGTTTCTAGGTCATCCATCTAATAAATAACAGAGCAAAGATATAAACCCAGGAATTTCAGATTCCAGAGCCCACACTCCATGTGCTGTCCTGCTGTAGAGGATTTGACTTGACCAGCTGATTCCTGTGTTCCTAACACCTCATCACACAACATCACCTACTTTCTTCCCAACTACTGCATTCATGACATCTCAATAGTCATTTTCTGCCTCCTTGTAGGAACAGAGCTGCCATCTGGTAGAACAAAGGGGAAGGAGAACACTGGGATCCCAACAACTCCAGAGCAATGGCCACAAAGTGGCAGAAGACAAGCATAAGGAAGCTAACAACACAAACATTTAGCTGCAATATATGTTTGCGTGTCTAGTGAGCACTTCCTGTGCGGTAGGCACTGTGCTAAGTGGTTTGATGGGCCTGTCCACAATATTTGCAGGGCATGCGGGCAAGGACAGTACTGGTTTTAAATATATTATCTAATTAAAAATTTTAAACCTCATTATCCTCCATTTCATAAATGAGGAAACTAAAGCTTAAAAGAGTTGAGTAACTTGCCCACAGCCCCAGAAGCTAGGAATGGGCTAGATCTGGAAGCTCAGTGCCCTAATGCTGTGCTATAATCTAGGGGTTGGCAATAATTCAGGCTTTTCAGCCCACGCAGTCTTTGTCGTTAGCATTCAACTCTGTCTTTGTAGCAGGAAAACAGCCATCCACACCATGTAAACAAATGAGCATGGCTGTGTAAAATTTATTTATAAAAACAGGCAGCAGGCCACATTTGGCTCATGGGCCATATACAGTAACAAAAAAAAAAAAACCTTTATCTGAGGAATGAAGCCCTTTTCATTATCAGGCCCAGAGAAGCATTAAAATGAGACTGCAATCACATCCTATTCCGCTCTTTGAGCTATGTATTCATCTTTTGAAACTGATTGTTATTGCCACAAGTGGCTATAAAGTATCCTAATAACACCACACAAGACACTATAACCCACACCCTGCAGCTTAACAATGGATAGCCAACACTAATCAGCGTGATTCAATGTAAATCAATGAGAATTCCTGACAAACAACTTTGTATCAGCCCACTCCCTGTCCCCCCTTTGCCTTTAAAAATCCACGTGTGGCCAGGCATGGTGGCTCATGCCTGTAATCCCAGCACTTTGGGAGGCCAAGGCGGGCAGATCAGGAGGTCGGGAGTTTGAGACCAGCCTGATCAACATGGTGAAACCCTGTCTCTACTAAAAATACCAAAATTAGCTGGGCGTGGTGGTGCACGCCTGAAATCCCAGCTACTTGGGAGGCTGAGGCAGGAGAATTGCTTGAACCCAAGAGGCAGAGGTTACAGTGAGCTGAGATTGTGCCACCGAACTCCAGCCTGGGTGACAGGGTGAAACTCCGTCTCAAACAAAACAAAACAAAAAAACAAAAACAAACTAAACAAAACCCACTTGTAACTGCTGCTAATTGGAGTGTGTAAATTCAGGGCAACTTGAATCTATTCTGCTGGGTTGGGATCCTCAGCCTTGGCCCAAATAAACTCCCTGCTTTATTAATTTTGCCTCAGCTTCTTCCTTTTAGGTTGACAATAGTTTGTGGATCCCTGCTATAACCAGAATGAAGGAGAACACATTCCTTTTCAGTCAGCACCTGTATCAAATAACATGAAAAATGTTAAATCAAATATCCTTATTATTGACATATGGTTTAAAGAAATGTTAAGCCATACAAAATAATCTCTACTTAGGTTTGCAAATTTCTTAGAGAGTATCACATTCTTAAAAGTCTGACACAAATATCACAAAGATCAAGACGTTTCTCCACTATGAAACTTCATCTTTCAACATCTGCTTGAATGCAGATCTCAGCAGCAGGGGAGAGAAACGCACTCTTTCCCTCCATCGCTAGGGGCAGGACATGGCCTCCTTTTGAAAGTGGGAAGTCAAGCCAATGAGAAACGACATGCTTTCCTGGCCTTTGGGGAGATGAAACCAGAGTCCGGCTTGCTCTGGTCAGACTGGTGAAGGAGGTTCTGGGCTGCTGATCAGAGACCTTCACTACACGCACAAAAGAGCCAGTGCAAACACTGACACTTCACAAAATCAAAACCTGGAGAGCCCAAAGCCAAACTCAGGCTGCTGACAGTGTGGTTTAGCTCAGTGCTAAGATGCATTTTCAAAGCACGTTTGAGAAAGAACCACCACTGCTGCCTTCGAGAATGTAGCGATCTGACACTCAGAGACACCTCTCTCCATAACAGGCTGGTGGTATCTCCAGTTTTGATTTTGCTGACACACTGCTAGGCATGCAGCACTTAAATAACTAAAAACACTGGCATTTCTCTTTCTGCTTTTATGATGCACATTCGAAGAGAATTTAATAGGAAATGCAAATCACCAATGTTTGTCCTTTTGCATTAGAATAACAAATGTTTTAAATCTGTTGTTTGGGAACTTGTTAGCAGCGAATTGTTGTGTAATAGTTAGTACAAATGTACTTTCCTGAAACTCACCAAGAAGCTTTTAAGTGAAAACAAAACAAAACAAAACAAAACACTTCTCATTCACATTTACAGCAGAATTCACAGAAGTGGAAAGATGACAGCTTTCTACCTCTGGCTCAGACATTTTATGATATTTGCTATGGCTTCACTTTCTGTTGAATTATATGCAACAAAGAGTATCTTTCTGCTATAAGTAGAACTGAAATTCTACCTTTTAATTTGTCCACAAGCTGTAACAGCCCACTGAGAGTATCTATAAATAGCATTATTAATACAAGACAGAGGCAATCTTACCATTACACTCTTTTAAAGAATTCCCAATTTTAGAGAATCTAAGTGAAACCTAGTCCTAATTAGCTTCATTCCAATCTGATTAGGGTCCCCATTTCTCCCCTCGTTTTTTATCTCAAACATTCAATGGTTGGAGAAATTTTCCAGAAGAATGAATATATTTGGAAGTGAGAGTTTATTCATATTCCAAGAAAAGAATCCCCAAAGACATTTCTGTGTATTTCCTTAGCCTCCCATGCTAGGTGCTGAGATCCTGGGGTAAGTATGAAAGGATTCTTTATATATATTTCTCCATGAGATAGATTTCTTCTGTTGTTTTCCAGCATGTCTACGGCACAATTGGGAGAAAAATGCCAATGCTTTCACCTTCTGAGAACTTCCCTAATTTTCTTTTACTCCTCTCAGCCTCATAGTCCACCTACCAGCTCCAAAATTTATGAAACATTTAGTATTAAATAAGGCAGGGCTCTGGCATCAGGAAAGCCTCGGTTTGCATGTCCACCCTGACACTGTTGTTTGATCCTGGACAAATTATTTAAGTTCTCTAGTTCTTAATTTATTTATACTGTGAGGGGGAATAACAATTGTTTGTAGTGCACCATGCCTGATACACACAAAACAATACATTATAACATTAAACATTATACTATAATGATATTACTGTTAGGCAATTATTTTTCTGCTAAATAGAGTAAGAAGCAGGAAATGTGTAAAGTTTGAATGCATTCCAGGTAGAAACAGACATGTCAAAACCAGGTTACCGTAAGTATAGTAACTTCCTAAGGCCCAGAGGACTCTATTAGGTACAGTGGAACACAAATGTTCTAGTGCAGACTTTATGTTTGGAGGTTCACAATGAGGAAAAGGGAACTGGGAATTCACTGGAAATGAAAGAGTCTGGAAATGGGTCAAGAGAGCTGGGCCCTTCTCTGGTTGAGCTGGGCTCTCCTCTGGCTGAGCTGGGCTCTTCTCTGCCATCCGTGAGTTCTGTGGGCACAGGACAATCTCTCATGGAGCCTTTGTGATTCATAGGACAAGGGCTCAATATTTCCTGCCAAACCCACATCAAAGAATTGTTGTGTGGAATAAATGAAATAATGTATGTAAACGTGTTCTGTAAACTAAAGGTGAAGTTAAAGGTACCAAATGCAGTGTTTTTGTGTTTATGTGTGCTTTCAGTATACTACTCTATCAGTTACACATTAATAAAATATGTGATTAGATCTGTAAATAACACCTCAAGAAAATTCAGTTTATCAAAGTCCAGATTGACCCAAAATATCTAATTTCATTATAAGTTTTTTAAGAGCAAATTTCCTTGTGCGCTATTATTTGCTTCAAAAAGGTTTGATTCAAACATCATTTTTATAGAACAGATATTGCAGAAGGTAAGATACACTGGTAGTATGTGAACTATTGTAGTCACGTGTTTATGTTAATGTTCATTCACACACCAGGGACACAAACAAGCGCTTAAGCAAATCCTCCCTTACAATCATTTCAAACCTCTCCCTACTCTTCAATGTACACTTTTGTGAAAATGAAGACAATGTAAAGTATAATCTCTTTGGTGAATTAATACATAATGAGGAAGCTTTTGCATTCAAACCTGATAAGAAATAAAAGTATTAACTGTTTGGAAGTTCAAGCAGGTTCTTTTTAGGATAGAATAACATTTTATTCATTTCTGAACCCTAAGCAACTAAAACATAGCAGGGGCTGCTTCATAAGCGTAGTTGAACCATTGTGGTTGAAGGTGTGAGAAACTGACATGGAAACAAAGGTGAACTTAAAAATCCATCAATCCAAGTTGACCTTGAAGATAATAAGACCCACGACTGTTTATCACCGGAACTGTCCATATTCAGGGCCTGGCTGTTTCCCCTTGATGGTGCCTTTACTCCAGGACTGGCTTCCTTCACCCCAGCCTGGTTCGCGTGGTCTCAATTATTAATAAATTTTCCATCAAGGCTTGGAAGACCTTTGATCAAAGCTGAGTGACTCTAAAACTGCCTCCAAAAAATTAGGAAAACCACCTTCTCTACTCTTCTACAGCACAGTCATCTTGAGAATCTGAGTTCTATTATTGCTTCTTCCACGAACTACTATATTTGAGAGTCCAGCAACTTCACTTTGGAAGCAAAGGCATACTGGGTAATCCACTATTTGTTGCTGTCCTCTCCTCTAGTCCCATGAATTAATACAGACCTGACTGCATAGGCATAGGCCTCATAATGTGTCCATCGTTCTTTAATTCCCTACAATTCCTTTTGTAACCAACATCTATCATGCTGGGTATTAAGAGAAAACACAGGCAAACAAAATGGTGGTCCCAATCCTAATGAAAACAAGACAAAGAAGGCTGCTAAAAGAGTAAGGAGGATTTGTTAAGATTACTAAAATCTGCATAAGGAGTCCCTGGTTTGAGATGTATTCTCTAAGAGAAAAGGAAAGAAAGAAATTCACCAATAACAACAAAGGAGCTTGATGAACAAGAGGCTGAAATGGCAACACTTAGGTCCACCCACATCCTCCCCGCAAAGTTACGGCCCACTTTGTAGGGCACTGGGTGTGTAGCATCTGCAATTGAGTCTCTCTCTTCCATCCACAGAGACACATTTCACAACCCCCTTCAATATGGCATTGCAGAATGCTAACTTGCTAAGTGCTAGGGTTGTTCACTTTTGAGCTGCTCACTTTTGAGCACACAAGGTTAGAAACGACATGAAGAGGTTTGAAGAACCAAAGGAGGAAGAAAGGGAAGGAAGAAAAAGCAGAGGCCTATATTTATGTTTCTTTGATTTCTTTTGACTTTGATTCACCCAATCTCATTTGCACGAGGTAGATTGAAATCATGACTTCCAATTAGTTACCTGGCATAGCTTACACTTCTCACATGTATTATTGTATTCAGTCTCATCTGAATCCAAATTATACTTTATATTAAATTTTACTTTCAAATCCTGATTTCCAAGACATCTGCTATTCACCATTTAGAGCTTAACAGACACAAACATTCATCTTTTATAACTAACAGAGTTTGGTAATATTAAGGGCAGAATTCCAGTCCAATAATTTACTGTTCAGACTTCTCTGCACTTTGTACCCTTGGCCAAGCACAACTGACTGAGCACAACACATTGGCCAGTGGATCTCCAGCCCACAGGCACCTTGACCTACTCTCTGCTCACTTCATTCTAGCCATTGCTCTGTTCTAATATTGTATTGGTCAGTGATCTACAATCTCTGCTTCTATTAAACATTTGGTAGAATCCCTCAGCAAAGTCCTTCTGCTTCCCTTCCTGGTCATGACCTTCCCATAGCACTGCCCCACAGTCCTTGATGATTGACCACCAGTCTGGTGCAGTCCCAGGTCCCTCCCTTCCTGGGCACTGCCCTCAAGAGCAGCTCTCTCTGGATGAGACTTAACTCCTAGCTCTCACATCCTCTTCTGCCTTCAGGACCCAAAGGGCTGGATGGAGCAGTTCAGGAGGGCACAGCGAGAGCAAAGGCACAGACACATTCAAGTTAAAATCTTTCTAATCTTATCCCATAGTATTCTGAAGTAGAACTTTAATCAACTTTTGAACCCCTTTGTAGGTTAATAAACCAGCAGAGAGTCTTTGACTGTTGGACACTAAGGCTTTGTCCCACTGAGGACTGAAGACGTGGAAAGGAATAGCATGAGAGGAAAACAGGAAAGCTTGACAGACTCAGCTTTCTTTTACACTGTGGTGAGTAACATGGAAGATACCATATTTAAGAACGTTAGAATCCTTCACTGAGATTTAAAAAGGACTTCTTAATTTACTTTTCTGTTTTATTGTTGTTGTTGTTCATTTTTTTTTTTTGAGACGGAGTCTCACTCTGTTGCCCAGGCTGGAGTGCAGTGGCATCATCTCAGCTCACTGCAACCTCCATCTCCTGGGTTCAAGCACTTCTCCTGCCCCAACCTCCCAAGTAGCTGCGATTACAGGCATGCGCCACCACGCCTGGATAATTTTTGTACTTTTAGTAGAGACAGGGTTTCACCATGTTGACCAGACTGGTCTTGAACTCCTGACCTCAAGTGGTCCACCCCCCTTGGCCTCCCAAAGTGCTGGGATTACAGGTGTGACCCACTGTGCCTGGCTGACGTCTTTACTTTTCGTTACCCAAACTTTGGATTTTGCCACAGATTCCCTTCCAATGGTATCATTAAGTTTTATTTCATTCTTTGTCTTCAGATCACATGGTGATCCCACGTCATTGTTCCCTAGTGTAAAAATGCACAGCCTTTCTCCCTCACCTTTCATCACTCCTGCTATGAAAAGAGAATCATGTTGTTTTAAGATGACCATAATAAAAATACATTAACAAATGGATTCATGGCTGAAACTAAAGAATAATTGAGTGGACTTGGGTTATTTAGCCAACCCATATGTCTACTTATACATAAGCACACACATCCTCACAAAGCTGGTGCATTGAGCTTTTAACTGAAAATGCACATCAACCTTTCTCCTAGGTTTTGAGTTGAGTGGCTCACTGACAAGCCTACGTTGCTTTTCCTGCCCCTCTACTGCATTGTACTATGAGAATTTCAAACAAAGAATGAAGCCATAAAACAAAAAGACTGAATATTTGGCTCTGCCTGGCTCCCAGGCTTTCTACTATTCTTGTGACTTGGCCTCAACAAAATCTAAAGTGACTTGTTATTTGTGGGTCAGCTTTGTCCCATCCTTACCAGTCATGGCTTTAGACAAAAGACTCAGCACCACTCACCCTCTGGGACAGTCTGACTGTGGTCTGAGGCCCCTGCTTAGATATTAGGCTTCAGCTCAGTTCCCAAGTCTCGCTTCATGACTTTCTGTGTACAGGCTAATATCTAACCTGTTTTCAGGGACTGCTGCCTCTCTTGGCAAGCCATCCGCAGTATCATCTCTTGAAGACAGCCATCTGACATTTCTTGTGTGGCCCTCTCAGTGTCCAGGGCCTCATTTCCTCCTGACGTTCCTAGTGGCTGCTTGTCCATGTGAACTTTTTTTTTCTTTTCTTTTCTTTTTCTTTTTCTTTCTTTCTTTTCTTTCTTTTTTTTTTTTTTTTGAGATAAGGTATCACTATATTGCTCAGGCTGGTCTTGAACTCTTGAGCTCAAGCAATTGTCCTGCCTCGGCCTCCCAAAATGCTAAGATGACAGGTGTGAGCCACCATGCCTGGCCAGTCCATGTGAACGTCTACGCATCACCTGTTCCTGCTGCTTATGAGGATTGCTCATAACCTCACAGTGGAGGCTCCACACCAAGGCTTCCTGACCACTTTTGTAGGGCCACTGTCGGGCCCTCCAGAGAGCCTGTCCCATGGCAGATGGACTTCCTCCCTTTCCTGCCTCACCTT
Source organism: Homo sapiens (assembly GCF_000001405.40). Taxonomy (NCBI): domain Eukaryota; kingdom Metazoa; phylum Chordata; class Mammalia; order Primates; family Hominidae; genus Homo; species Homo sapiens. The sequence continues at coordinate 29,597,550 of NC_000012.12, forward strand.
GGGGCACACATCTTCCCTTCTCCACTGGCCCATCCTACTGAATCTGACCAGACACAGGCAGACACGCCATAAAATGTGAAAAAAAAAAAAAGCAGTGCATAAAGCTTAAAGTTTAAGAGGAAAAAAGCACCCTTTTTACAGAGCTATGCTGAATCACAAAACAGTTAAAATTTGGAGTGGCAAGGGACCTTAGAGATCATGTAACAGAGGGGTTATAAAAATGTTCTATTTCTAAAACCAGTAAAGCTTCCGCCCAAAAAATGGGGGTGAATGGGGGAGAAGGAACTGATGCAGGGTCATCTACCTCCTGCTGCTCTTATCATCATGACAAGAATACCAGAAATATAGGAAAGATAAAATTTCATAGTTTTATAAAACTGCATAGGTTTAGCTTTATGCAAAATTCACCACATTGTCTTTCTTTCTCCTTTCACCCCATAGTTTATCTCCAAACCAGTGAAAACCACCATTTGGGAACTACAGAGCAAGGCCAACATTCTGGTTTTACAAACAGAGAAACAGTAATCTGACCCTATTCAATGATTCTTTCAAGACGGCTAGCCAGTGGGCGACAGATAGGGCTGCGTGGAGTCCTAGTTCAGCTTTCTTCCTATTAGATTTGCTAAAGCAAATTTCTGTGATTTCCCTGTTGATATTAATATTTGGCAAAACGGATTCACTCTCTTCTAGCAACTCCAAAGAAGCATACAAATACACAGATGGATCATGAGAAGGGATCCCCAAAATCAGGTAACAGAGGCTGTGTAACTTCAGAGGTAATTTTTCTCCTTTTGCATTCTGAGAAATAAATCCTACAGAATTGTTTCAATAGCAATCGATGTTAGACTGAAAATTCCATTTTGAATTGAGAGGTATGATTTCAAGACAGCATTCTGATAAAGATCGCACTGAATCTATAGATCACTCTGGGCTTTTCAACAATATTGATTATTCCAATCCATGAACACAGGATATCTTTCCAATTTTTTCTTTCATTGAATTTTATTTCTCAAAAAAGTTCCGTTTCTCACTGAATTTTTTCATTGAATTTTATTTCTTCCATTTCTTTCATTGATGTTTTATAGCTTTCAGTGTAGAGATCTTTTACTTCCTTGGTTAAATTTATTCCCAAGTATTTTTTTGTAGCTATTGCAAATGGAATTGTTTTCTTTTTTAGACAGTTTGCTGTTAATGTGTAGAATAGCTACTGATTTTTGTAAGTTAATTTTGTATCCTGCAACGCTAATGAATTCATTTATTAGTTCTGTTTTTCAGTGGAGTTTTCAGAGTTTCCTACGTATATAAATTTAATGTTGTCTGCAAACAAGGACAATTTAACTTCTTCTTTTCTAATGTGAATGCCTTTTATTTCTTTCTCAGTCATTCTTGATCAGTTGTATCCCAAAATATTGTTTCTGCCCTCACTTATTCCCATTCATTCTTTTCCTCTCTCTACTCATTCAAGTCTTCCTAAAGTAGCACAGGAATTTGCTCTTTGGCACTGAAGTGAATAAATCATCCTTAATCTGGCATGTGAATGAATATTCAGTCACTTTCTGTAACATTATTTGAGAGCTACCATCAACTACTTCTGCTTCATCCATTCTAAGAAATTTTAGTTCATTGTAGCAATTTAATGTGGTTTTTATAAAACACAAAAAAGATAGCCATAAAATTATATGCTTCTGTTGGGAAAAAATAAAAGATCAAAATTTCTATAAAAGAATGATTTCAGCCCCAAACTCTCTTGCCTGTTCAAAAAGGAGATCTGCAAAACTGGCTTTGTCACCAGAAGAAAAGATTATTCCAATTTCTTTTGGTGGTAAACTCTGACCCTGAAGCAATGCAATGCTAAGCAGATAGCCTATTTCTGTCCCTTTTATCCACAGATTTCAAAGTGCAAATGAGAGGAAGGTGATATTTCAGACCTTTTCTGGGTTGAGATGCAGGAACAGAAGCCACAAGATTTAAGTGGCTAGTTCATTGTTAGGCATAAAGGCGGAGGATGAGAGAGCACTGTTGGTCTGACTCATTCTGCACTTTTCTTGTAAAATGGCCAAATCAGCCCCCTGGGATCGAAGGGATTCACCCGGGCTTCAGTGAGGCTGGACATGACTTCTGTGAAATTCATGTGTGAGCAACTAAAGCTAGGATTTGGCTTCATAATAGCTTGAAACAAATATTTGATGAGCAGAAAGTTCACCTTCTTTAGAAAGATTACCAACTGAGCCTTTGACTTCATTTTCCTATTGTTCACTAAAGTTTCTGAGACAACACAGAGCTTTTGCGTAAAAGTGATGATCTATATTTTCAGGATGTCATTGAGTACACCATATATATGTGTATATATACATGTGTATATATATGTGTATATATATGTGTATATATATGTGTGTGTATATATATGTGTATATATATATGTGTGTGTGTGTGTGTGTATATACATATATATATATATATTTTTTTTTTTTTTTCCCTCAAAAGAGCCTGGATACTAATGCTGTGGAAAATGGCTGTTTCTTGTCAAGGTCAGGATGGAAGGAGATTCATGAAGATATGATTCCTGGGTTAAAAAAAAAAAACATTTTGAACATGTTCTTACCATTCTCAACACCTATATGTAGGTTTATTAAATGGAACAGGCATTATCCAGTGCTCTGACACATCCACGGGATGCCTATAGCATCTGTAAAATCCTCCGTGGCTCTGGGGAAGATTTCAGAAACTCTTAGCTCAACTGTTTGCTATTCTCCATTAAGACAGGGACAGCTCATCACTGGTAGGTAAAATCTTTTCCTAGTCCCCCATTTTCAAAGAAAACTGTCAATATTTATAAAATGGCTTTGATGAAGTCATCAGAGACTCTCTAAAGCCACAACACAGAAGTTTCCTTACCCAGACTTTAATTTCCAACTCATCCTGGACCACCTCAATTGCACAATTCTATATACCAGTGGGAATCCAGGGCCAAAAGGAACATAGCTCCCTTGCAGTTTTAGTTACAATAATGACTGTGAAGAAAGATGGATTCACTAGAGGTACAGCATCCCATTCAAATATTCCTAAGATTCCTCCCGTGTCAGTTTCCCGAAATCCAAGTTAAACTCTCAAATGAGGTCAGGACTGTAAACCTGGCTGAGTGACCTGACCCTTTCGTCAGCCCCCAGACCACCTCTAAGGGTCAGGAAAGCACCTCCACCCTCTGCTCCGGTGGCTCTGGCATCTGCTGAGATGGCATCTCCGGAGGGGGAAAGTAGCCTGGCTGGGATGGTGATGGTACGTGTTAGTCCAGGATTCACTAAGCAGTAAAGAGAAACACTCAGAAAAAGATGACTTAGTGATAATGCTGCAAGGCATAGATGCAGGAACTTGGAAAGAAAAGGACAGTCATCTTTTTAATGAAAACTGGTTTACTGAAATTGATTTTGGGTGCCTCTTTACCGAATTTGGCAAATGAAGCAAAACCGAGGTTGGTTCCGGGAGGCAGGCACTTGCTGTTGGTAATATTGATGCTTTCTTTTCAGTACTTTTATTTTAACCCAAATCAGCCTATTCCTAGAGGAAAAAGGGCATTTTATTCCTAGGAAAAAATAAACTGGAGTCATAGAAAGGTTTATTTAAGATATGGCAGCATGGGAAAAGCCGGAGCTGGCATGATTCTGGGGGTTGGAGGATATACCTGCCCGGGCAAGATGAACCTCTTACAATAAGATACCCCACAAAGGGTTGGCGACAATACTATGAGCTTCCGTAACATTTACCTAAGGTCTCTTTCAGAAGAATCAAATTTAAATGTCTAGTTAAAAATTCCAGCCCTTCACTCTGCCTTTATTTCCTCACAAATTATTCTCCTGTATCTAAACTAGATGACACTTTGCTGAGCTTACAAATCTTTGTCACCCAGAACCCCCAGCTCCTGAAGAACTAGATATTAGGGCTCTTAGAAGCTTGATCACCACATGAGTTGAGCCGAAAGTCCATTACTATGTGTAGATTTTCTTCTTATTTTGTAATTGAGAAGAATACTAAGATGTTCCTATCAGGGAAGCAATATAGTCTGGAAGGTAAGAGATCTGTAGTAGACAGGGATGTGTTTTCCAGCTCTGCCACTCACCAGCTATACCGCTTGGGGCAAGTTAACCAACCTCTCAGAGCCCAGGTTTTATTTTTGTAAAATAGCAATAATGTTATCAGCTACCTCAGGGAACTGATATCACAATAAAAATACTTAGTATTTATTGACCATATATAATGCAAAACACTTTCTAAGTTTTATATATAATCATCTCTTTTTTTTTTTTTTTTTTAGACGGAGTCTTGCAGTCTCCCAGGCTGGAGTGCAGTGGCGCGATCTCAGCTCACTGCAAGTTCCGCCTCCCGGGTTCACACCATTCTCCTTCCTCAGCCTCCAGAGTAGCTAGGACTACAGGCGCCCGCCACCGTGCCTGGCTAATTTTTGTATTTTTAGTAAAGACGGGGTTTCACTGTGTTAGCGAGGATGGTTTCGATCTCCTGACCTCGTGATCTGCCCGCCTCGGCCTCCCAAAGTGCTGAGATTACAGGCTTGAGCCACCGCGCCTGGCATCTCATGTTTTTAAATTTATTTTTTCTGAGACAGGGTCTGGTTCTGTCACCCAGGCTGGAGTGCAGGGGCACGATCATGGTTCACTGCATCCTCAACCTTCCGGGCTCAAGAGATCCCCCACCTTAGTCTCCTGAGTAGCTGGGACCACAAGTGCATCCCACAACATCTGGCTAAGTTTTTGTTATTTTCTGTAGAGGCAGGGTCTCACCATGTTGCCCAGGCTGGCCTCAAACTCCTGGGTTCAAGTGATATACATGCATCAGCCTCCCAAAGTGCTGGGGCATGAGCCACTGCACCTGGCCCTATAACGGTTTCATTTAATGATCACAATATGTCATTGAGTTGGGTGCTATTACTATTTCCATTTTATGCAGATGAGAAAACAAGCTTAGAGGAATCACGATCATGTTTAAGCCAGAGTTTGAATGCAGGCCCTCTGACTTCAGGGGCAGGCTGTGACCCACTACTACAGTGTGAATTACTTGACATAAAGAATATAACATGCTTATAATAGTAAGTGAAATATAATAAAAATGCAATAAAATTTTGATGCAATTAATGACAAAATAGCATTAATGAATACAATAGTATTTATAAAATATTAGGACCTATTAAACGCTTAATATGAGAGATTCCATTTTGTTAATTGGCAGTTAACTCTTTGAGGGCAGACACTGAGATTCACTTACTTGTGTAGCACTAGATTTTAGTAGAGCATTTATGGCAGAGGGGCTCTATGAATATCTATCAAATGAAGAATGATTCCATTGGAATCATCAGTACTACAAAGAAAAGCTAAGATATATTCAACTGGTCTAAGCAAAAACATATTTAGAACACAGATTGATGCCACTTTTTGGTCTTCTATACTACAGGTGTATTCCCTATTATTGGCAAGCCTTCACAAGACTCTTACCTTAAACCACGTAGAATATAAAGAATTGTGTTGTATTTCTGTCCTTATTGAATAGTATTTATCAAGCACTCATCTCCTTCCCAAATTGGGCTGAAGACACAGTAAACAATTAAGGGCTGCTTTCCCCTTAACCAAGTCAAAACCACATGCTGCAAAGTGTTAAGAAAGCTATTAGGTATTTGGTTTGAAGGAATCAAAGATTATGAAATTCACTTCTAATTATAAGTGTTTTAAAATTTCTAGTACAATATCATAAATAAAAAACACTCATTTCCTCCTAACATTTTGGTTTATGATACTGCCTTTTAGGAAAGTTCATACTTATAGAAGAAGAATGAACTTTCCTAAAAGGCAGTATCATAGTCCAAAGTGTTAATTTTAGCGAGTTTACTAAAATCTCTATTGTAAAAATGAGAAAATCTGGGGGCAAAAAAAGCTTTGTGTCTTGTTCAAGGTCAGTCAACCAATAAATGGCAGAACCAAGACTTGGTTTCCTGATTCAGTGACATTTTCAAGCATCTGAAAAGAAAAGTGGCCTTGGAACAATGACATTGGAATAAGACAAGAGAACAGACAAGCTTCAGCACAGTTCAAACATTCAGAGCTAAGTGGCATTATGTAATCACACACATTTGAATGTCTTTTCTAGTTTTTAAATCATTGTTCTTTTCCCAAGGACAAATTTTCTTGAGATTGCTTCCATTTTTAAATTGAAGAAAAAAGAACGAACAAAAGAAGTTAATTACAATCATGCTACTGAACATAATACTTTTATGCAAGTCAAAAAACATTTCTAGAAAAGTATTATAATTCTGTTTAATAACACCCATTTAGACATAGATGTAGTGATAAATGATTACTACTAAAATCCTGAATATACTCAAGTTAATATTTCACATTTAAACTATAAAGTTTGCAACTGAAGGTAAACCACTGTAAACAAGAGTACATGTGTGGACATTTGCTCTCATCCAACCTTCTGTGTGGCTGTTTTTAAAGCTGAAATAATAATATCCCTTGTCCCATGAGGATCTAATGGTCTACACACAGAAGACTGTCTCTCTGGAACTATCAATGTTGGTGACAGAGGGCAGGTCTTGTAGGAGGAAGTCACGTGCAATAGTTACCTAGGCATGTAAAGGACTCTCTCCGCCACCACAAAACCCACCCTGAAGAAGAGGTTGCTGGCTGGAATGAACGGGAACACCAGGAACAACAAGCCGACTAAAACCTCCTTGTGCTCCAGTCTCTGAAACACACAATAGTGAAGGAAACATTAACTTCTGTTGAATTCCACTTCAGGCAGCATTTAACCATCTCCTTCACTTTCAGGTTCTCAATGAAGAAATGAATAAATTAGACCAATATAAACCTTTTGACCGGCGTGCTGAATTTAACAGAGAAAGCTGACGGGCTAAAATGGCTGGCATGTCAAAACATACACATGTACCCTGACACACATTTGCCACCCAGAAACATGGATATTGGCCCACTACAGTCAGTGACCGCTACCTGTTGTTTAGGGCTGGATTTACAGCAACCCTGCTTCTTGGTTCTGGCTCCGTTCAGAATCCCTGTCTTTCCAGACACCCCATTCTCAAAGAGCAAAGCAACTGGCTAAAATCAAATGCAGTAAGGCACTGCAGAGAATTTAATTATATCTTCCCAAAATATAATGTATTTTCTTTAAAAAATTCACCAGGAGAAGCAAAGTTTAACATCAAGAAAATCAAATACTAATGATAAAATTTGGGATGCCAATGGAGAGAGAATCATTTGAATTGAAGCATACCTTCACACCTCTCAAATTAGGCTGGCAAGCGAGTATTTACTCCATTGATTTTTTGAATAAAAAATCGTTATAATAATTCATTAAATTGACAAAGAACCTCCTCTGTTATTATATATCTTTATTTGCAAAGATTTTTATGTCACTTATAATTAACAGAAAAAAACTTCTGTTTATTACTGATAATATGTTGCAATGACATTGTAAAAACTCATTTGTATTTCCATGTGTATTTATGGTATAGACACATTTGAAGAGAGTTATATTTAAAACAAAACTTAATGTACTGGAGAATATGTATTTTTTAAGTTTAAGAAAAAAACCAAATAGACTGTCCATATTTCAACTTTTAATGTTTCCTTTAAACATTTTAAAGTCTATTATTTTTAATAATTGGAAAAGAATAAGTAAAAGAATTTCATAAATGTAAATAAAACTCCCTAATAAAAGCTACAAATACTTTAACTATACAAAGTATAACGATTTTAAACATCTTGGGATACTTGTCACCTTGATGTTATTAAAATATTTGTTTTACGGACTAAAATATATAGGGTAATACAATTTCTGAGAGTGATTCCATATGATTTGGACAGTTGCCCTTAAATAATTAATGGATCTATAAGTAATGATCTCATTTTGACCTAAAGGAACCAGAATTTAAAGGAAGAAAAAAATAGATTATGTAACAAGCCTTCAACTCATGATCTACCAAAACTGACCAAAAAGGGTAAAAAAAAAAAAAAAAAAAAAGAACAAATTCATTTTATTTAAAAGCTGCAAGCTATCTTTTTAATTTAGACTATACTTTGGGTTTAGAAAGTACATTTCAATTTGAGAATTTAAACTGTATAGTTTATTTATTTGTTTAAATTTAAATTTTTATTTTCAATTTGGGGTACATGCGCAGGTTTACTACAAGGGTATATTGTGTGATGCTGAGGCTTGGGCTTCTATTGTTTCTGCCACCCAGAGAGTGAAAATCGTACCCAATAGCAAGTTTTTCAGCCCTTGCCTCCCTTTCCCCTCCCTCCTTTCAGAGTCTCCAATGTCTATTGTTCCCGTCTTTACGTCTGTGTGTACCCAAGGTTTAGCTCCCACTTATAAGTGAGAATATGTGGTATTTGGTTTTCTGTTTCTGTGTTAATTCGCTCAGGATAATGGCCTTTAACAGCCTCCATGTTGCAGCAAAAGACATGATTTTGTTCTTTCTTATGGCTGCTTAGTATTTCATGGTGTATATGTACTACAATTTCCTTATCCAATCCACTGTTGACGAGTATCTAGGCTGATTCCATGTCTTTGCTATTGTGAAAAGTGCTGTGATAAACACATAAGTGCAGGCATCTTTTTGGTAGAATGATTTTCCTTTGGGCATACACCCAGTAGTGGGATTGCTGGGTTGAATGGTAGTTCTATTTTTTAATTCAATGAAAAATCTCCAAACTTATTTCTGCAGTGGCTGAACTAATTTGCATTCCCACCAACACTATATAAGCATTACCTTCAAGTACATAATTTTAAAAAATCTTCACAAGAATCCTGTATATCAAGAGCAAGTATTTCTTCTTACAATTGAAAACAGACCCCAAATAAAGAGTGTCTTGTCAAATGTTCCTCATTCACTCTGAGCTTATTATTGGGTAGTAAGTTGCTATTCCCTTTTTATAGGTGCACTTTTATAGAGATAGTTGATTACTTCTTTTCATGCTTCGAAAGCTAAAATACTTTTTTACAAAATTATTCACGTCTTCCCAAAGAAGTTTCTAAAGAGAATGTAATACACCCTAGTAATTCATCCTAAGAATTAAGAATTAAGAGTGCAGGTATAAACAGAACAATGATCAGGCTGTTATCCATGTCCCTAGATACTGTTTTACCCAATGAGCCACCCCACGGCCCCTCATCAAGGTTATTGGGAAAGAGCCCTCACTGGGAATCTGAAAGAGGCTTCTCTCTATATCCCCAGCATCACACGTTCTTACCCTTCCAACGCACCTTCCTCACTACGGTGGGTGTTCACTTTCTTTTTTTTTTGAGACTGAATCTGGCTCTGTCACCCAGGCTGGACCAGGTTGGGAGGTGCCTTCATCTCAGTGGTGGGTGTCAGTTGGGAGCACAGCCAACCTTCCTGCCCCCCCCCCTCACTCACGGACACCCGTAGTGAGCAGGATGCCCATGGCACTGATTGCTGTTGGGGATGCGGAGATGGGGGGAGAGTCAAGGAGCGATCAGCCTCCCCCAGAAATCTGATGTGCACATGGAAAAGCCACAGGGCTGCGTGTTCATCTGTTCCTCCACCAGTTTCTTCAGACACCAGCACAGTCTTTATTTCCTTCATGACATCACTCTAGTTGTAATTACGTGTGTATCTGGGTGTTTACTGCCTTTATTGTCTGTCTGCCTCACTAGAATGTGAGCTCCATGAGCACAGAGTGCTCCTGACTTGTGTTCACTGGTGAACGACTTTTGCTTAGCTCAGTGCCCGGTGTGAATATTTGCTGAATAAATCAATTAAGTGAATAAATGTATCAGGCAGGATACAGAGGAAAAAACTGGGTAGAAGAAGGGGAGCAGGCAGAGAGGGCTTTTTGGTGGAGGTGACATCTGGGCTTGAAATATCAATAAACGTTTACAAGGAAGACAAATTTGGGAATGAGGGGTGGTCACAGCTAGGCACATTCTTGGGAGAAGATATGGAATGTACAAAGCAGGCAATAAGACTAGTCATGTCAGCAAGTGGATAATGAGCGTTTTGCACACTTTGCTATGGAACTGACCTTCACCTAATGGCAGTGACTAAAGGGTCCCTTATGCATAGAAAGAAACGTGAGTGAGTGTTCAGGGTCCACATCCAGACTCAGGTAGTGACCCTGCCACCGATACACCATTGGTACTTGGACAGGCAATATTATCCCTTCCATCCTCAAGGTGCCTCAACTATAAAAGGAGGCAAGTATGCCTGAGCGTTGAATGTAGTTGGGTCATTACAAAGATTTCTTGAAAACCTGAAGTCCATTTTTTGGGCGTTGTGAGCTATGAGCTTACACACAGCCCGCCACCCTACATTGCTAATCTTGTGGGGTGTTTTCCTTTGTTTTTAAAACAGGAAATGGAAGACAGTGGCACAGTGCCCAAACTCAATAAAGTTTCATTGTTTTATTTCATTTTGAGAAAATTAATACTCATGAAAAAATTTCTATTTTCAAATTAAATGGATGACAATACGCTTTGTCTTTCCTCATCCCCATTCAGTCAAGAGAGATTAAAAATATTCAAGAACAACATACTTATTTGAAAAACATATCAATCTGCCAAGCAGAGACTTGTAAAGTTGGGAAAAAAAGTGCATCATGGACATGGCTAAATTTTCTAGAATGAGACAGACTAGGAGGGAACCCGATTCTGTATCCTGTGGATCACTGATGTGACAAAATTGGCTAAATAATTTATAGCTTCTTTTAGCCTAGTAGATTCAATAATACCCTAACAAAATATGAGGAGAAAAAAGAGGAAATTCATGGTATTTTCCAAAGTACACATGGTCATTCATTTTTAGGACAAAGAACGAATGGAAATTCACTTATTCCCAAAGACAGCAGGGAGAGAAGAGATATGAGAACTAAGACAGCTAATAACACAGCCATTATAATACATGACATTTGATTAACTGCAACTTCAGACAAAATAATTTACTTCTCTGAGCTTTAATTTGGTGATCAACTAGACAAAAGAAAAGGAATTGATACCTATATACCTGTTATATCTGTAGGAAAAATGTGTGATAGATTCGCTATTATAGGTGTTAGGTTTGATTTTTCTTTTCTGGTTGGGAAGAAGAGAGAAAAGCATCCCCCTGAGCTGCAAAGAGGTGAAAATCCTGTCTTAACACCCAGACGGGGGTGCTGAGAGGGTCGCTCAGTCACCATCGGCACAAATACACATCAGGCCAAGCAGCTAAGGGAAGAGCAGGGCTTTTCTCAGAGCCGTAAATTGCCTCAGAGGAAATCCAGCTCCTGAAACCGTCCAGCCTAGTAGCTTCTGGTTTATCCCCTCCTCTTCATACTTCCAGTTCATCTTTCAAAGTGCAATTCACAGGCAAAGACACGCACACACACACTTTGATACACATGTATGCACCTGGCCAGCAGTGTGTGGGTGTTAATAAAAACAGGGCTCCTTCCTGCCCAATTCAACACCGATGATACACACCGCAGGCTGTTCCCTTCCAGAGAGGTGGAAAATAGGCTTATTATAGTAATTATTGTCATCATTACTATTTTTTTTCTCACCTCTAAACAAGTTTCAGAGAAATGGTACATTGCATTTAGGGTACAAGTATGTTCACATGATTCTAAGTATTGCATAGTTATATTTCAATCCTAAGGATTTATTTGGCAGCCCTAGGATCTAGCTGTCTGCCTCCAATTTATCAATCCACAGGGAAGCTGATGACAGTAAAGCTCCCCTCTTCAGCCCCGGGGTTAAGGCATTTGCCAGGCTGACAGCTAGTATGGCTGAACACTTCTTAGGCTCTCCTTTTTATATCTGTTTTTGGGTCTACTTCCTCTGTTAGACTACGGATTCCTTGATGGTAGTCACCAATGAATGTTTAAATTTATCTAGATTCCTGGCACAACACCCCTACTGCTATCTACAGGAAATGTTAACTGTCAGCCTCCACTTGAGCAAATCCAGGTCTCAGGTTTATTTAAAATATTGTGAACTTTGAATCCACAAAAGCCCTTATGTCTACTGAGGCTATCAAAGTTGAAGATAATACAGACCGCATCTGATGGATGGGGAACTGACTTCATCTTCAACGTTCTAACTCAGAAGCCAAGAAGAACGCTTTCAAGACCAGCATGGCCCATGCAAAGCTAGAGGAACAGAAAGTGCCTGACTGTTTTGGGCAACTGGATTCTGCCTGAGCTCTGCACAAATGTGCCTTTGTCTCACTCTCTCTGGGAAGCTACAGTGAGCCCTAAGCGGCCCTGTTGCCTACCTGGCCTTCACTGCTGTGTCTGCTTTCATTTAAGTTTTAACAGCCTCTCCCACCTCCAACTCTGGCAGTAGCCGGTCTCGCCTATCTACAGGCACAGCTCCTGTTGGATTTCTCTTCATGGCAACAGCTCTCAGCAGGTGCTGGGTGGCTGTTCCTCCCCTCTGCCCCTTCAAGCCATCTGGTAGGTGTCACTATTGCCCGTGGCTTCTCTAATACTACCCACATCACCGGAAATGGTCCTTTCATAAACTCTCTTCAATCACCTCACTGGTCGCACCATGTGTTTCCTGCCAGGAATCTGATGGATTGACCAGCGAGTGAAAACACGGGGACAGGGCAGAAATGTGGACCTCAAAAAAGGATCGGAGCTCGGGCTGGTGTGAGCTACTAGGAGCTGGCTCCAGCACATCCCTGGCTTCGTCCTGTACATCACAGTCTTTCCATCATGTTTCAGCCCTCGAGTGAAGCACCCTGTTTAAGGCCACCGAGGCTATAAGAAATTTAAAATGTTATATTGAAATAATAAAGACCAACATCAATCTGAGAGAGCTCTGTTATCTGGCAAATGGGGTTGAAACCAATTTCTCAATAGCTGGAGAAGAGGAAGTTTTGAACGTTTACTGCTATGACAATGATTAAATGCAATAGACCACTTCTTATGACTCAAACAAGATCTAGAATCTTAGCTCCATGACAGTAATGTGGGGACAAAGGGAATCCTGCGGCAGTCTTATGGGTAAAAAGAGTAAGAAAAGTTAAAGCCGATTCTCAGAGCCTGTTACAGCTGCCACACACCTTGGTGAAAGGGACCCTGATTCCGGCCCCAGTGGTCACAAGGTCACACTGCGAGATGTTTAGGGACAGTCCTCTTGTGACATGAGCACAACCCACATCTCAAATGTAGACACGGAAAGGTGCCATTTACATTTTTTTCCTCTTGTCTGAAAATAATGTGAACACTGAGTTGGGACAGAAAATGGCTCAGGTTCAGGATCTCAAAAGCAGAGCTGCCAACCCACACTCTCTAGTTGGCTCAGGCTGGTGATATCATTTCCTCACTTTCATGAGCTCTAAAATTTACTCATAAATGCACAGGGAGTAAATTTTTAAAAGGGGAAATGAATGAAGAAATTATACCCCCTCAGAGACAAAAGTAGACTTGTATACTTGATGTCTTCCCTAAGCCAATTTAAACATTGCTTTTTCCCATGCCAAACTTTCTTTGCCAAGAGGCACTGCCAGATGTACTAATGAACAGAGCACCGAAGGCCGATTAAAATCAGAGGATTTATAAACTGACATTTTAGATTTCTGGTCTTTGGTTCTGAACTTCTTTTTTTTTTTTTTTTTGCACAGAGCCTTTTGTTTGATTTGTTTTTAATCAACAGTCTGATCCTTCTTGCAAACACCAGTTCCTGAGATTAAAACGTCTTCTCTCACAACAGCAATTACCTTTCAGAATTAAGTGAGGAGGAATCATGAAGCTCCCGGATTGCTTTACTCTAATTGAGAATAAACTAATTTCTAACTTTACTTGGAAATGTAAGTTATATTCTGCATAAGTGTGTATTAAAATGTTTAAAAAATAAAAGCAAAAACCTTTTAGAAGGCACTTTATTGAAAAATATCAGTCCAGTGCAAAAATTTCTATTCACTTTAAGCAAGCACTAGTGAGGAGATAAGGTAATTAAGTAAATTAGAAAAATGTTGGTGAATAAATATTTTCCTGATTAGAATGCAACTATTACAGGAATTTATGATGACATAGAAAAAGTTAGAAATGAACTTTCTTTATTTTTGTGGTTCTGAACAAAAATGTAAAAGGCATTAGAAAGCTATGTATTGAATTTAAAAAAGTATGATGAAGACTAAAGAGATGGGGGAGAGCTGTAAGCGAAGACATCTTTGAAAGTCTGGTTTAACTTACAAATTATTATATGTGTGTTTCACACAGATGGGGCAGGGGGCAGGCCGCAGTAAAAGCAACCCAGTAAGTTGCAAGTGGTAGAGGATGGAGGAAAAACAAATATCTTTCAAGCACATACCATATGCCAGACACTTGACTTAAATGGGCCCACTGAAGCCTCATGATAATATTACAAAGTAGGTATAATTATCTCCATTTTTGTAAGTGAGGAAATTGAGGGCCAGAGAGCATGAGAGACTTCTCTTAGTTGATCCAATCAGTAAGAAGCAAGGGCTTCAAACTGAGGTCTGAGTCACTCTAAAGCCTGTCCTCTTCCCACAGTCCACGTGGCTTTGGTATTCGAAGTTAATGCCAAGTGTGGGGAGGAATTTCAGCCTTCTCTACCATCTGACTTCATAGCAGAAACACACTGACGGCAGATATGTCCCAGAAACTGGAGGTGGCCAAATGAGACACTGCTGAGGACCTCTAACAGAGGGTGCTATTGGTTTACTTTGCCAGATAAATGCAAGCACAAGATTGCATTCTACACTCTACAGGGATGCAACAGGATCTATGGCACACAACACATATTTCTTGTCAAGTACTCTGAATGCATGTGTGAAAGGTTTGAAATGGTTCATCCATTCATCTTTTTAAAAAAAAATTTTTTTTTGAGACAGGGTCTTGCTCTTGCTCTGTCGCCCAGGCTGGAGTGCAGTGGTGCAATCTTGGCTCACTGCAACCTCCACCTCCTGGGTTCAAGCAATTTTCCCATCTCAGCCACCTGAGTTGGGATTACAGACATGTGCCATCATGCCTGACTAATTTTTGTATTTTTTTTAGTAGAGACAAGTTTCCACCATGTTGGCCAAGCTGGTCTTGAACTCCTGAACTCAAGTGATCTGCCTGCCTCAGCCTCCCAAAGTGCTGGGATTACAGGCATGAGCCACTGTACCTGGCCTCATCCACTCATCTTGACACCCATCCTCTGAAAGAATGGACGTATACATATCCTCTGATCACAGTGGGATAAAACATAATTTATTTGACTGATCTTAGTTACTGACTTGTAAGTCGATATTATATCTGAGAGAGCTTGAGGGGTGGATAATAATCACTTTTGACATATGAAATCAAATACTGTAATGAAACTGCCCTTCTTAGTAAGGAAAGTGAAGGAGCATCCACATTCTAGTGACCACAGGGGTTCAATGAATAAATTAAGTGGACAGGTAAGTGGGTCAAAGGCCTTCTAAATTTAAATCTACACACATTCTTAACTTGTTATTGTTCTAAGCTTCTTTCTATAATATTCCACTGTTTATGATGAATTTTTCAGGAATGTAACACTGTGATCATCACTGAATCTTGTAACATATCTGTCACAGTATTTACACAGGCAGATGGATTTGGAAAATCAGAAGAGTGATGCTGCTCTAAGAGATATGTGTCCATGTGCATTGAGATCTAACCTAGTGGAGTGACTCAGGAGAAAGGGGGGCTTGAGTGAGGTACACCTAGGACCCCCACCTGACACCCATGACTTCAGTGGGAGGCTGTGGCCTGAGGTGCACTAGATGGGTGCCTGTGAGAATCAAGAGAGAACATCTGGGCAAAAGCTCAGCCATGTGCTGGGAACCTGTCTGAGGAGGGGGTGGAGAGAGACAGCCAGCTGCATAGGTGTCAGGGCTTTGAAGCATCATGCTTACCATATCCAGCTTTGATTGGCAAAATGGAGATGACTGTGGCACAAGTAATGCCACAGAATCCTAGGTCAAGAACTCTAACTTAATAAGGGGACCTAGTGTGGAAGAGAGATAGGAGCGCTTAATCATTTTATTCCCTCTCTAAGGATTCAATTAAGAACCAAGATGGATTTAAACATGCAATAAAGCCAAGAATGAATCTAGCTTTGATGAAATGGAAGAAAAAAGGAAAAGGATAAATCAGATACATTTTCATAAACCATTTTGTTCCTACGAAAATAGGAAATATCCATGCCTGGGAGAAGCGGTCTTCTACCTATGACTATAGCTCAAATGTTTCTGTTAGGAAGACATCCCTCGGGCAAAGTCTTCCAAAGCAGGATGATCACTTCTTTTCTGTTAAGAAAGTGACAAAATGTTTTACTTTTTCACAAAGCAAGTCACACTCACCAAAATGCATGATTCATCTATCCACTTGGAATTGTCATACAGAAGACAGTCCCTTTGTTCTATAATCTAAAATTAATAAGGAGAAAGAACCATAAAAAAGTTCACACAGTTTCACTCTCCTAGTGAAGATCTAAATGTTTTAGAGTAGCACTTCCAAAAGATAATCATCCATCCTACTTTATCAAACTACGGAGATATGTTTGGCTTACTTTAAGGATACTACACATGAATATAACAAGAAGTGTAGTAACTCTTAAGAGGTAAAAGAGGAAAAAAAGGTGAGATTTGCTTCCATGATTGAACTTCTAGAGGAATTACTATTCATGGTAGATTTGATTCCTGTTATCTGTCAATGTACTCACCCAAAATCAAAATATCTTTTATAATCAAAACATGTTGCATCTCATTGGACAAGACCCACATCCCTACTTCTGAAACATATGGTCACAAAATCCTGATGGATCATTTTGTTTCCACAAAGATGGTTAAAAGGCTCTTTACACAAATAATTGACATGATGGAATAACGCTCTTCCTTCACCTTGAACTGTGTTTTCAAACAGCCTAACTGCCATGGCTTAAAAGGGTGAATTTAATGGACTAATGAAATGTAGCAAAGGATGGAAACAAAGGTCCCTATGTTTGGAAATGGTATCAAATGCTTGTAATTTTCTGAGTTCAGACATGCACACACCTATCTTCATCATTTCAGAGCATGGGAGATGCATGCATAAAAAGACTGATTTTCACCAAAGCACAACAGCTCAAATATCTCAAGTGTATATAAAAGACAAGAAGGTTTATATGATCTATATGAGGCTTGACATACAGATAAAAGTAAGAACTTAATCCAATAGTCACTAGTTGGGAGTTATATTTTTCTTGGAAAAGTCTTACAAGGGAGTAGAAAATAAAATGTTTTAGACAAAGAAACAGAGAACAAACTTGTTTCTTCAACAAGCCTTGGCAATAAATTACTCCCCAAGTGAAGACATTGTCATTGTGAGGACCAAAATCTGTAACAGGCAGAAAAATAGGGTTCACTGGCCGAAGTCACCCAAATCAGAAGGAACTGTGGTGGACTGGAATGGAGAGAATTTTCCAGCCAATGTCAGGGAAGCTGCCATTCCTAAATGTTCTTTCCAATTAATCACTTTTTCATACCAAATGCCAGAGTCCTGGGTTATAAGCGAA
The DNA here is from genome assembly GCF_000001405.40 of Homo sapiens. Lineage (NCBI taxonomy): Eukaryota > Metazoa > Chordata > Mammalia > Primates > Hominidae > Homo > Homo sapiens. Next base: position 29,615,103 of record NC_000012.12, read on the forward strand.
CAGGGCCAATTTGGCCATTTAAAGTTGCCAGGTTCTTTTGTAAATACTGGTGGCCTGTGGCAATTAAAACCAGATGGGATACAAAAATGAGAGCAAGTCTGAGAAGAAGTTCTGTTAAAAGTGCAGCCATTTTTTAGCAGTCACACACTGGCTTCTCAGGAAGCTCCAGGAAGTCTTTTCTCTGTCCTCCAGCTCTCCTGTAAGAACCTTCCATGAAAGGTTCCCGCTGAGGTGCATGTAACAATGTCTTGAGGCAGCCACATCTCACTTTCTACTTAGAGAAGGCCAAGAAAACTCCCTCGAGTGCCTTCTTTTAAATCATGTTAAGCAGGTGAAGATACAAATTTTTAACTTATTCCAGTTAAAAGAAAAAAATACCTGTAGAGAGATATATATGGTGCTACTTTGGTCTTGCTTTGGAAACTGCCACTTATTAATAATATACCAATGAATGAGCTCTTCTAGGTGAAACTTGCCTCCCCAAACTGTAACATTTCATGAATGGCCTTGCAGGGTCCCTCATCCATCAGGACTCCCAGCAGTCACAGACACTGTTGTATCAAACATCTATATACACATTTCTAATTACAGCCTCCATAGAATGAAAAATATAATTGGTTTCAAGGTCTTAGGTTACTGTTGCCTTGTTGAAAACTATAAAAGGAATGGTTTCAAAGGAATCCTTTTTCAGGTGGTATTGCTAAAAAGGTAATAATATGAAAATGTTTTTGTTGATGCTGTGGTGGCGGTTGTTTTTGGAGGTACAAAGAAGGCAAGCAAGGAAATGTTTAAACATTGCCCAAAAATGAACTCTCAAGGTCCAGTGACCCAGGCACCTTTGTATATCAAAGTTGATACTTCCCAAAGCACGTTGCAAGAACATTTATCCACAAGAAGTCCCTAAAAAGGGGTTCCAAATTCAAATAAGTTTGAGGAATGCCATTCATGATACGCCCCTTTTGGAAACTCACAAGGCTTAGAGCAACATAAAGGCTTTGTGAAGCCCCCCAGTAAAGAAATATGTTTAACTTTTTGAAACCTAGTGCTTGTGAAATGCACAACTGTAGAATCTTTATTTAGAGTAACCTTACTTAATGGTCTGTATGATGCTGTGACATATTTTGAGAAATGCTGGTACAAACTGCTCTAGCAGAATGAAATTAAGAAAAGTTCTCACTTCAGGAGTTTCTATAACCTACTCCCCAAAAATCAACGCGCTCTCTGGCAAACACAATTTCACTGATCTCAACTATAGCCATCACGCTACAGTTGAAATACATTTTCTGGGGCCAGAGGCGGTGGCTCACACCTGTAATCCCAGCACTTTGGGAGGCCGAAGCAGGTGGATCACCTGAGGTCAAGAGTTCAAGGCCTGACCAACATGGTGAAACTCCGTCTCTACTAAAAATACAAAAATTAGCCAGGCATGGTGGTGGACGCCTGTAATCCCAGCTACTCAGGAGGCTGAGGCAGGAGAATCGCTTGAATCCGGGAGGCGGAGGTTGCAGTGAGCTGAGATCATGTCATTTGCACTCCAGCCTGGGCAACAAGAGCAAAACTTGGTCTCAAAAAAAAAAAAAAAAAAAAACATTTTCTGCTGTTCAGCCCTTTGTAGAGATGAAGAATAACTGATGGCCATTTTCTACACTAAAAATCACTATACATTTAGAGAACTTTGTTAAGCCATCTATCTGCATAGTGGTGGCTCCAGCTGAGATAAATCCTAAGCACAGGAAGGCTTCTTGGCATCGTTAAACCATATCAGTGTTTATAGAGATAACATTCTCATGGGTGGGGTGGATGCAATGGAAATGGAGAAAACCAAGCTCTTCAAGGCACCCTGGGTCGTCTTATAACTTTATTCTCTATACTCTTAATATTGTTTGAACCAATGAGTGGTCAATTAAATCTCTAATGTTTTATCTTACTGTTTACCACTATGTTTTTCCTCTCCAAATGCACTGTCCTATACCTACATATTCCCTACATATTTCTTCTGCTTGTTTCAAAAAACTTTGTCAGTTTTTAAGATCATTTTCCATTTCCATCACACCACTGGGTATGTGACGGCTCACTCCAGTTAGTCATGCAATTAGTCATGCCTCTGCCTACAAGAGACACAAAGTACAAGGAGCAGGCAGATGACGAAGGGAACCATCAGACACCTCCACCCCAGTTTACGTGCTTTGTCAAAGCACTCTTGAAAAATTTCCCATCCTCATCAATGGTTCTCTTGGAAAAACCTGGTCATTGATTATTCATTCGTTCAACAGATATGTTTCATTGCCATCTAAAAAGATAGTCTCTTTGGGCACTGTACTTACTTAGAAGCAAACACTTAAAGAATTTAGCAATCAATCACTCCCATCTCTTTTGTATTTTCCAGGTACTAGTCTAGGCTCTTGGGAAAACATCAGTAAGCAAAACAGACAACAGAGAGAGAGAGAGAGAGAGAGAGAGAGAGAGATAAAAACCCTGCCTTTCCAGAGAGGAAAAGAGAGAAAGAGACCACGAGAAAGTGAGTCAGTGAGGCTGGTAAGGGGTATCTGTAATACACAGATTAAGGTGGACAAGAAATGGAGAGCAATTCTAAACACAATGGTAGGCTGCACTGAGAAGGTGGCAATCAAGCAAGACTTGGAGGAGATGAACAATACTTATTTCATAGTAGAAAATGAGTTCAGGAAGTAGCAAGGGAGATAATGGAGTGGGGGTTGGATGGGACCAGCACATGTAGAACCTGTCAGGCCATTATAAAGGTGATGACTATTGTTGTCAGAGAAATAAGGAGCCACCAGAAGATTATAAATACAAGAAGGGCATGATCTGACTTACATTTTAAAGTAATCACCCTGACCACTGTGTTGAGGAATAGACTGGACCTTGGCGCAAGGGTAGAAGCAGGGAGATCGGTTAGAAGGCTATGGCAATAATCCAAATGAGAGATGACGGTGGCTTGGACAGGGTAAAAGCAGTGAAGGTGGTGAGAAGCTGTCAGTGTCTAGATGCATTTTGAAAATATGGTTGACAGAATTCTCTTGATGGATGAGATATGAAATTTGAGACAGAGAAAGAGAAAAAAGGAAATCCCCCAAATTTTGGCTCAGGCAACTAGCAGAATGCACTGAGATGAAAAATGCTATTGAGGCAACACACTGAATGGGTAAAGTCAAAAGTTAAATTTCAGAATGTTGAATTTGATACTACAGTGTGGAGATGCATGTATATAGATGACACTTTCCTTCTTGAACAACCCTAGGTCCTACATATATTATTTCACTTATTTTTATTATATTACAGGTGAAAAATAAATTTTTTAATACTCACCAATGTTTCTGCTATGTAATAATGTAGACATATAAACATTAAAGCTCATATTACAAACTTGTTTTCTTTCTAATATTCTATGCTTCCTCCTTAGGCAATGTACATGTAAAAATAAGGAATTTTAGATTTTTTTTTTTTTGATGGAGGGATGATTCTTCCCAGGGTTGTATTTATCACCCTTGCACTCCCTTTATAGGCTCCTTGGGCACTGCACTTACAGCTAATCACCTAAAGAATCTGACAGTCAATCACTACAGTCTCCTCTGTGTTTCCAGTAGGCTTTTTGTCTAGAGGGACTTGTTTTAGCTGCTTTTATCTCTGGGACTCCTAATTACATATATCAGGGTTTTCTCAGAACAAGATGGAAAATGGTGTGCTCCTTTAAATAGAAATTTCAGGTTCTAGATGGAAATGGAAAGGACAGAACGGTTCTAGATGTTACAAAAATATCTTCTGACATTTGTCACAGTTTAAAAACAATCAGAAGCATTGTCTGCTAAGTGTTAATGAGCTGTTTTTATGAAAATATGAATCATTATGAGAAATAACAAATGTAAAAATTAAGATTCCTTCTCAAAAGGTGGCACTTGCTCTGAGTAATAATATAGACTATGAAATCTCACTGAGAATCACAAAGCATACAAATCAGGGGAAAAAAAAACTAAAGCTGTTAGTGATGTCTGATAACTTCTTTTTCCATTATACCACTATCTAAGACTCACTAATAAACTCAGTGAGTCTTCCAACTGGGGGGTAAATAAAAGAGGGGTAGGTAAGTCATTTTCTTATTAAATAGTGTGACTTGTAAAAATGTAATTGCCTGTGAAGGCAAAGAAAAAGACAAATGATTTAGCGATGTGTAAAACTTTTGCCAGGCCTAGATCAAAAGCCAAGCAGAGCACTCCAGGTACAACTGAATGGTATATTCCACATGACACGAGGAAAGAGGATTTGTAAAAGTTTCAGCTCCAGAACAAGGAGAATAATTTTACAGGTGACATATTAATAATTGACAAAAAGGCAGGTCTTGGTAAGACTGCTCAAGGGCCACTGATTTTCAGGTAGCTGCTGAACAAAGGGTTGCATTTCTAGTGTCCACGTTGTTCCAACCCCTGATACTGAGGGGAATGGAGAAATCCAGCGATGGTAGCATGATGTTTTATGAACAGCAACAACAAAAATGATTTTTTTCTTAAATCCTGACTATTTTCACAAAATTTTCAAATACCACTAAAGCCATCCATAATCTTTCTAAAGTCTGGAGCTTTAGGTGATAGTTGCAATAGCCATTTGTAAATAAGTCACTAAATTTCCCATTCTTCCTTCCCCTTGATAAACGTTCAGTCTTAACAGAGTGATTTTATGTTATATTCTGCCCTTCTGTTACATTTGAACATACTACCTTCCCGAACTATGCTTCTGCACTTAAAACCTGCACTTAAAAGTGTGTTACTACTATTACCTCTTATGTCAAGAAGTTAAAGAAGCTCCCTGTCACTCAAGGTAAAGGATGAAGGGAGGTGGGGAGGAGAGCATTAACTTTTATAAGCAATAGTAATATCAAACATAGATTCTGGTCATGGAAGCATGCCTGGACTTTGAAATACATCGACTCAAGAAAAGGCAGTCAATTGGATTTCTTTTAATAAAGGCTGATATTTCTACAAAATGGAGACAGGATCCCTCATTGTACTCCTGGGTTTAAGCTGTGAGAATTTCATGATGCTGGAACAACACAGGGCTCCTCATGTGTCAGCCTCCATACTGAGTGTTTCATGTGGCTTGCCCTGGTCCAACCACAGTTGGTGCAGGGAAGATCAGAGAGGGGCCCACACAGCTATGCAGTGGCAGAGTCTGGCCTCAGACTCAGCTCAGTGCTGATCACTCCCCTCCACAGCCTTCCCTCCCCCCAGCCTTGGGACTCTCAATCTGGAATCTGGGCAACACAACTCAACATGCATGCAGGAGCTACCCCCAACACAGAGGGGACTGGCTTCCACTTGAAGTTGGTGGTAAATTTAAAGTGAACTAAATTAATTATTGAATTTCATGTGAGACTAACAAATGAAATCGAATGACAATCATAAGTCTGATACAGTATGTATCACATATGGTAAAGCAATGACATAAAAGTATGTGGGAAGGTCAGTACAATGGATCTTTAAATATGTTCCATTTTATAATGAGGTACAGATCCAACTTCTCTATTTTCTAACACTGCATCAAATGAAGTGGTGAGCTCATTTTCAAACTCTCATCAGAAAGATGATATGAAGGAAAATCTCAGCTTTGGAGCATGGCCTATGGGCCAAAGTTGACTAAAACTACTGAGCTGGAAAACTGTGACCCACATAGCAGAACATTATCAGCACAGGAAAAAGGTGGCAGGTGGAGAAGCCAGCTGAGAGCAGGGAGAAGAGGCTGCATCAACTGGGCTGGTCAAGTCTCAGACAGAACAGCATCTCATACAATGGCTACTCTCATGGCACTGGTGGTCGGGGTCAGAAGGACCGTGGCAAGGCATCATCAGGGTCCATCTATCGAATACTGCAGTGGTCTCCAGGCAGAACAAGATGGATGGGTTGTAAATGGGCTAGAAAGATTGGATCTATAATAGCACGAAGAGGATTTTCATGAATTGAGGTTACAAAAAGAATAGAGAATGTGCTGTTTGCAAAGAATGGGAACTGAAAAGAGGAATGTAGGCCAGAGGAAAAAAGAAAAATCCGTGTTGGCATAGAGCCATTCACTATTAAATGCAACCTTCATTCCCCAAGTTCAATTTTATTTTACCATTCAGTATATTAAAACATGATGCTTATTTTACCAGGTTTATAACTGCTATTCTGGAATTTAGTGATCCTTGTGCCATAATACCATAACCTATTATTTGGCTGAGCTAAATGCAAAATAATTTCCAGAAATCAGCAAGTGTGTTCAGTTCAACCATATGGATCTATGGTAGTACAATGTTGTACCCCAGGGAATGAAAAATGTATGTGACAATGATGAAACTGAATAGTTGTGAAAGACTGCATGGGCAGCAAAGCTCTAAATATTTACTACCTTGTTCTTTTTTTAAAAAAAGTTTGCCATTTCTTGGTCTATCCTACCGTATTGTGTTTATTCCCATAAGCTTCTCCAAGTCCTTTTTGGAATGAGGTGAGGATGCCAATATGCAAATAATCACTTTCCAATAGTGGCTTTCGTTTTGATCTTACCTTCTTGTTGAGATGTGTGGGAATTTTATTTAAAGAGAGCTCACAGGCTGACATTCTCTGTTTATCAGCTCTGTGTGGTGTTGTGGTGAGTAGGTTGATGGGGTCTGTGACATGGACCAGCATGGAGGTAAATCCAAAGTGAGGATGAGAACAGGCATGAAGGGAGATCCCTGAGATGAGAAGGCCCTCCCTGAGTGAGGAGCTGCATTAGCCCTACCCCACCCCTACCCTCCATTTCCACCAAGTTGTTGCTGGTCGTCACCTCTACCAGTCAGGTTGCAGATTTTTCCCCACATGGACATGAAAATTTGGCTTGTTTTCTGGGGCTCGGTGCCACAGCCTGTGATTTGTGTTGGTTGCTAAACTATCACCCTACTAAAAATTTAAAAAACAAATAAAAACCAAACCCCTCAAACCCATACCTATGAGGTGAAGGGAGGGGAGAGACAGGACTTCCACTGCCCAATGTTCATTCTCAAAAGACATCTCATGACTGAGGCTATTATTAAGAAAGTCAGGTATCAGTAGCCCACCTCTTTTTCTCTCATGTTTTTCTTTTACAAGTATGCTACAAGATTATAAAAGGTATAAAAATACCTTAAAATCTCAAGACACTCTGTGAGAATGTAATAAAGAACCAATACCAAATAAATTACTCTTAAATATAATTTAATGGTGTTTCCTCTGTAATGCAGGGAAACCACATTAGAGAACACAGGAAATTGGGAACTATAAAGAATAGGACTGACTAATAGTATTAACTGCTCTAAATAATCCAAATTAGACTGGCTACTTTCCTGATATATGTCACTTTTTATTGCAAGTCAACAGTCTGACATAAAGTCTATAAGAGCCATAAAGAAAAACTCAAGTGCATTTTCAGCCGTGGTTCTCCTGGGGCATACACACTCACTATTCATAGAAAAGAATGGAATATTCAGCCTTTGTGGCTTAAATATCCTTTAACTGTACATGCATTCCCACAGAGTGATTACCCTCATCACAAAGGGTCAGAGCACATTAGTTCACTTTAAAATTCATTGTTAAAAACAATTCGATCCAATAAGAAATTTCTAGATTGTTCTCTACATTATGTAATATAAATTCAAATGCCTTTCTAGAGAATGAATGGTGTGTGAGTAGAAGGAGGAGATGAAGGAGAGGCACAGAACGAGATAAATTCTACTCTTAAATTCTCAAAGATGCCAACTGAGCTCTTCCGTGATAAATAATAAACTACTCCATGAGGTCTTAAATTTCGTATGCCCTGAAAATAAGACAAACTAGAAACAATCTCTAAATTCATTGTGTGGTTATTTCTAGAGAAAGGAGCATTTAGATTCTGTATTCTGCCTCTCCCACTCAATTCTGGACAAGATCTTGTCAAAAGTAAAACATCTACTCTTTGAGTTGCTTACCCATAGAAACAGTTCAACTAGAGATGGAAGTGGCCTGGAATAGTCTGCAATGTGTAATGGTGTCTAACTTAACTTACTTCTAAAAAAGAAAGAATTTGTTTTTGTTTTGCATAGTTATAAAAATGTAGAGGAACAGATATTCAACAGAGGCCTATGAAGAGCAGGCTGTGGGGATTGGTTTTGACAGATGACACACCTACTGTTTTACATGACTTAATTTGTCTTACATGCCTTAATTTGTAGTTTTATAAAGTTAATTACTGAAATGTTAATAAAATGCAAATAAGTAAAATACAAATGCATTAGGAAAGAGTATGCTCCCACCTCCACCTATCTGGTGTCCTGGTTGATGATGAAATAGGAAGCAAGAAGAAGGTTTTTGGTAAATTGGAGAAGAAACAAAGATTATAAGCATATATCTTGCCCAAAATGATGCAACAAAACTGGTTAATATTAGTAAAAGAGGCCAGGAGCTGTGGCTCATGCCTGTAATCCCAACACTTTGGGAGGCCGAGGCGGGTGGATCACAAGGTCAGGAGTTTGAGACAAGCCTGGCCAACTTGGCGAAACCCTGTCTCTACTGAAAATACAAAAATTAGCCAGGCGCAATGGCGGTCACCTGTAATTCCATCTACTCAGGAGGCTGAGACAGGAGAATCGCTTGAACCCGGGAGACGGAGGTTGCAGTGAGCCAAGATTGTGCCACTGCACTCTAGCCTGGACGACAGAGCAAGACTCCGGCTCAAAAATAAATAAATAAATTAAATTAAATTAAATTAAATTAAATTAAAAGCAAGATATGCATGTCTTACAAATCTCTAGTGACTCTAAAGCTGTCCTTTTCCTTCAGTCCCCACCTCCTGCACTCCATGGACACACACAGAAGCAGCTAAAAGACCTGGATTCTCTGTCTTGTTTTTGTTTTTGTTTTTTGAGATGGAGTCTCTGTTGCCCTGGCTGGAGCACAGTGGCACAATCTCGGCTCACTGCAACTTCTACCTCCCAGGTTCAAGTGATTCTCCTGCCTCAGCCTCCTGAGTATCTGGGATTACATGCACCCACCATCACGCCCAGCTACTTTTTATATTTTTAGTAAAGACAGGGTTTCACCATATTGGCCAGGCTGGCTTCAAACTCCTGACCTCAAGTGATCCACCCTCCTTGGCCTCCCAAAGTGCTGGGATTACAGGCGTGAGCCACTGCGCCCAGCAAGGACCTGAATTCCTTTCTCTAGTCTTATTTCCTCCGCTGGCTTGGGCCCACCAAGAAGAAAACTAAACAAAACAGAGCCAGAGGTCAGGTGGAAGAAGTATGGCAAGGGAAAGGAAAGTAGGCGAAGGCTTAAAAAGATAGAGGTTTGATACTGTGTGTGCTCAAGGTATCACACACAGTATCGCACACACTCGCTCCTTAATCACACTGATGTCAACTCATATGGCTGTACCCAGCCCACTTGGCTCCAGCCATCTCAGCCTCCTTACTGTCTGTGATGGGTCTAGTACTTTCCTGCCTCAGGGACTTGGCACTGGCTTTCCCTGCTCTTGGAATGCTCTTCCCCAAACAGCCACATGGCTCACCCTTGCACTTCCTTCATGTCTCTGCTCTAATGTCACCTTATCTGTGAGGCCAGCCCTGACCTCTTCGCATCACCTAATATTTGACAAATCAAGACATATTTTAAGTGTTTAACTGTAAGCTCCATGCAGGTGGGACTTTCATTTTGTTCACTGTGCTAATCACAGCAACCAAAAGGCACTCAATCAATATTAAGACAAGGACAGAGGAAAAAGTAGTGAAGCTACAAAGAACATATTCTCCTTTCAATATAAGCCAAGGTTGTTTTCTATGATTGAGAATCAATCAAAGGTGAAAATGAAAGATCTTTCCATGAATCTCTGGACTCACTGCATACGCTTGTTTATTCAGTATTTTTTTCTTGGTAATATATAGCTTCACTATCTCAAAATTTATGGATATAATCAGGGATTATAAAATAATTTCAGCTCGATACTTGCTGATTCAGTACACAACTCGTTTGGAAATATTCCAGGTGGACCGACCTGTGCTTATTCTGCTGACATTATTATAAACATTTCATCTATTGTTTCTTTTTAACACAGAACAATGTCCATAAAGCATGACCTCTATGTTCATAAAAGTTTAATCCTCCTGTTTACTGCCTCAGATTCAAAGCCCTTACCATCATGTCCTTAGAAGTTCATCATCACACACACACAAAACAGGATTATTCCCACTTCGAGAGGTTACTAACTAGTAGGAGAACCTGACTGTAAGGCCTGATTCCTATCTCCCTTCTGGTGTGTAAGCAGATCAAGAAAAGTGAAACCAGGCCACAAAAACATGAGCAAAGCTCTGTCTCCAACCTCTGAAAGAAGAAAACCTGGAGAGTGTAAGTGGCCAAGAATTGCCAGAGGCTCTAGTTAAACGGTTGCAAAGAATGTTCAAGATGAAAGCCACTACAGAAGAGCTCAATCTTAACTATCCCCACAGCTGGAATGTTCTGCTAAGTTTTTAGGATGCATTAAAGTGATTTTGAAACAAACTCCCTGAAAGAAAAGGATCAACAGCCTTTCACAGAGGAAGTTTCCATTCATTCATCATGTTATCAAAGACACTCTGGGGAGGGCCAAGACTTGCCTGTGTGCAGGGTCTACTGCCATCATGAGAGCTTATGTTTAACACACTTGACCGAGATGACAGCCTGTGGGGAATCACCAGTCCCCTTAATTAGCTGGGAGAAAGTCAAGAAAAACCCTTTCTGACATACCCATTCAGGCTCCACTATATGTGCTCCTGCAGATCAGTTACAATAGAGCAGGCACACCAATCCATGAGCTAAGGTCAGATAATAAAACAAACCTCATATTCACCCCTAAATATTTCATGCGGCTGTTGAGCACAGTGCTTTTCAAGCCTTTAGATATATGTCTTACAAGAAAAGATTCTCTAGACTAAAATCTATTTGAACAGAATTGCTAACTTTTTGCAGTTTTATTCATTTAGATAATAGATACTGAGTGGCAAATTTAGATAATAAATAAATAAAATTTAGGTAATAAATATTGAGTGGGGCAAGTTCTTAGTGATAGAAGTATGGCAGTGAACAAGACAGCAAAAAATATTTGTCCCCATGGGGCTCATGCTCTGGTTGGCAGAAATAGGCATTAAGTAAAATAACCAAACTATATAGTATTTTAGAACTTGAAGTTTAAGTGAAGGGAGTTAAAAAGTAAAAGGGAGATAAAGAAAGGAGTAGAGAGTATATGACTACATTTTAAATAGGATGGTTAAAGTAGACCTTACTAACAAGGTGAAATTTGAGCTCAAGTTTATGTAACTAATTGGCATGCCAGAGTTTCTTAAGGATGGTTATTTACATGATCCTTGCTTTATAAAATTCATTTACAAAAAGATGTATCAGATGGTTACTTTAAAATAAGGTGTTTAGGGAGAAAGAATACCCTCTTCAAAAAACGATGCAGAGAAAACTGGATAAGCACATGCAAAAGAATGAAGTTGGATCCCTACTTCACTGCACACCCAAAGATTAACTCAAAAATGAATCAATGACCTAAATATAAGAGCTAAAACCACAAAACTCTTAGAAGAAAACAGTCATAAATCTTCATGACCTTGGATTTGGCCATGTATTTTTAGATTTGACAATAAGAGCATGATAGAAAAAGAAAAACATAGCTAAATTGGACTTCACAAAAATTAAAAACTTTTGGTCAGGCATGGTGGCTCATGCCTGTAATCCCAGCACTTTGGGAGGCCATGGCAGGTGGATCACTTGAGGTCTGGAGTTCGAGACCAGCCTGGCCAACACAGTGAAACCACATCTCTACTAAAAATACAAAAAATTAGCTGGGCGTGGTGGTGGGTGCCTGTAATCTCAGCTACTCGGGAGGCTGAGGCAGGAGAATTGCTTGAGCCCGGGAGGCGGAGTTGCAGTGAGCCGAGATTGCGCCATTGCACTCCAGCCTAGGTAACAAGAGCGAAACTCCATCTCAAAAAAAATAAAAAATAAAAAATAAAAACTTTTGTGCATCAAAGGACATTATCAGGAATGTAAAAGGCCAACCTACGGAATGAGAGACAGTATTTGCAAATCAAATATCTTTTAGGGGTTTAATATCCTGAATATATAAATAATTCTTTACAACTCAACAACAAAAAAGACAATCCAATTAAAAAATGGGCAAAGACCTAAATAGACATTTCTCCAGAGAAGATATAAGGATGGCCAATAAACATATGAAAGGATGCTCAACTTCATTGATCATTAAGGAAATGCAAATCACAACCACAATAAGTCACCTCTTCAGACTCAGTAGGATAGCTTTAATTAAAATAACAAAAGATAAATAACAAGTGTTGGTTGGGATGTAGAGAAATAGGAGCTCTTGTACATTGCTGGAGGGAATGCAACATGGTACAGCCACTACGGAAGTTTGTCAGTGCTTCAAAAAGTTGAAAACTTAATTACTTTATGACTCAGCAATCCACTCCTAGTTATATGCTATAGAGAAATGAAAACATATATCCACAAAGAAACTTGTACACAAATATGTACAGTAGCATTATTTTTAGTAGTCCAAAAAAAAAAAAAAAAACCATCGAAAGTAGGAAAACATTGAATGTCCATCAATGAATAAATGGATAAGCAAACTGTGGTATATGCTAAAGGTATTAAAATATTCTGGCATATTTACTTAAATTACTTGAATATAAGTTCATAACATTTGAAAAACAGCAGGTGCAAAAAGATCACTTTGACCTTCTTGTTATTTCTTAAAACAGAAAATGCAATTCCCATGTGAAAGATGCCCTCCCCATACCAAAAAGACGCAGCTTCCTTATCCTCAAGGATGAGAAATATAACCAGAGAGAATCATGTGCAGACCTTGTTAAAGTAACTCTTATCTTCTAAGCTTCCCCACATAATTTAGTTGTACCTTCACTATTTACTATTCTTTGTCCAATCCAGCTTATAAATAATGGACTTCAACTGCTTCTTTGACTCTTTAATTCTTTATGAGGGCATCTGTGACATGTAAAACTTGTATTACATAAATGTGCATGTTTTCTCCTACTTATCTTATCTCAACTTAATTAGTGAACAGAAGCGTGACCCTAAGTGGATGGTGGTGGAGTTTTTCTGCCCCTACATTACATACAATGAAATATTATTCAGCCATGAAAAGGAACAACGTGGTACAACTTCAGTGAACATCAAGAATATGGTGTTAAGTGAAAGAAGCCAGACATACAAGATTACATGTTTTATTACTCCTGTAAACAAAAAATAAAACTCTAAGGCTTCCAGCCATCTGAATGGACCCCTCCTCTTGCTCGAGAGCTTTCCAGAGTTACCTGAAAATCTAGTTCAGGCCATGATGAAAGAGCAGGTTGGACATACCTCATTATATCCCACCAGCATTAACGTCAACACAGACTTTATAAGAAACATTTACAGTCTATTCTCTCTAAAGCCTGCTACTTGGAGGCTTCATCTGCATGGTAAAACCAAGGTCTCTACAACCCTTTATTGTAACCCAAGCATTCCTTTATTTTTTATTGTTATTTTTTGAGACAGACTTCGCTCTGTCACCCAGGCTGGAGTAAGTGGTGCGATCTCGGCTCACTGCAACCTCCACCTCCTGGGTTCAAGAGATTCTTCCACCTCAGCCTGCCAAGTAGCTAGAAGTACAGGCGCACACCACTATGCCCAGCTAATTTTTGTATTTTTAGTAGAGATGGGGTTTCACCATGTTGGCCAGGCTGGTCTTGAACTCCTGGCCTCAAGTGATCTGCCTGCCTTGGCCTCCCAAAGTGCTGGGGTTACAGGCATCAGAGACTGCGCCCGGCCTCAGGCATTCCTTTCTATTGATAATAACTCTTTCAACAAATTGCCAATCAGAAAATTTTTAAAGCTACCTATGATGGGCCGGGCACGGTGGCTCACATCTGTAATCCCAGCACTGTGGGAGGCCGAGGCAGGTGGATCACGAGGTCAGGAGATTGAGACCATCCTGGCTAACACAGTGAAACCCCGTCTCTACTAAAAAAATACAAAAAATTAGCCGGGCGTGGTGGCGGGCGCCTGTAGTCCCTGCTACACGGGAGGCTGAGGCAAGAGAATGGCGTGAACCCGGGAGGTGGAGTTTGCAGTTAGTGGAGATGCGCCAATGCACTCCAGCCTGGGCAACAGAGAGAGACTCCGTCTCAAAAAAAGAAAAAAAAAAAGCTACCTATGACCTGGAAGTGCCTCCACCCTTCAAGTTGTTCTGCCCTCCCATATCGAGCCAATGTATGTTTTACATGTATGATTGATGTCTCATGTCTCCCTAAAATGTACAAAAGCAAGCTGTACCCCTACCACAGAGGGCACTTGTAGTCAGGACCTCCTGAGGCTGTGTCACAGGTGTGTCCTTCACCTTGGCAAAATAAACTTTCTAAATTGGCTGAGGCCAGTCTCAGACATTTTGGGCTCACACTCCTTTTATATTCTATACCCAGAATAGGCAAATTCATAGAGACAGAAAGCACATTAAAGGTTATCAGGGGATGGAGGAGGGGAAAGCTGAGAGTGATTACTTAATAAGTATGGGGGTATTTTATGGGGTAATGAAAAAGCTTTGAAACTAGAAAGTGCTGGCAGTTGTATAACACTGTAAATACACTAAGTACCACTAAATTGTACTCTTTAAAATAGTTAATTGTATGTTATATAACTTTCACCTCAATTTTAAAAAGATGTTTTAATCATTCAAATTTTTTTCATTCAATTTTCAGGATTGGCCTTATGTTTTGTGTTTAAATTTCAGTTCTGTATTCATTCCAGCCTTTTACCTATTTGCAATATTTAATCGTTTTTTATACTTTATTGAGGTAAAGTTCCCATACAACAAATTCACCCATTTTAAGTTATATATTTTGGTGAGTTTCACTACCACAATCATATTTTAAAAAGCATAAAATGTTATTTCAAGTTATAGTCAACCTCCAACCCCACATGTTTTCTGTCATTATAATTATGCCTTTTTTAGAGTTTCACATGAATGGAATCATATAGGGTATTTAGTTTGTTTTTATGCTGCTATGAAGAAATACCCAAGACTAGGTAATTTATAAAGAAAACAGGTTTAATTGACTCACAGTTCTGCATGGCTGGGGAGGCTTCAGGAAACTTACAATCATAGTGGAAGGTAAAGAGGAAGCAGGGACCTTGGGCAGCAGGAGACAGAATGAGTGCTGAGCAAAGGGAGAAAAACCCCTAATAAAACCATCAGATCTCGTGAGAACTCTCTCACTATCACAAGAACAGCATGTGGGTAACTGCCCCCATGAGTCAATTACCTCTCATGGGGTCCCTCCTATGACATGTGGGGATTATGGGAACTACAATTCAATTTGGGTGGGGACACAGCCAAACCATGTCATATAGCATACAGTCTTACATGTCTGGCTTCTTTCACTTAGCACCATGTTCATCCATGTCTGTCCACATTGTTTTATGTATTCGTAGTTTGTTCCCTAAAATTTCTGAATAATTGATGACACTGAGTTCGTCCATTTGCATGTTAGGTCATTAGATTTTTCCCACTTTGTCTGCTATTATAAATAAAGCTGTATGAATATTCACAGACACGATATTCATATGGGCAAGTTTTCATTTCTTTTCAGTAGGTGGAGATAGGTAGAGCTGTTTAATTTTATGTTTAACTTTTTAAGAAACTTCCAAATTTTTCCAAAATGTCTGAATCATTTTTTATTCCCATCAGTAATGTATAAGGATTCCAGTTGCTCCACAGTGGCCAACGCTCAGTGTTGGGAATCTTTTTAATGATAGTCATTATAGTGAGAGTATAATGGTATCTCTTTGTGGATTTAATTTGAAGTTCTCTAATGACTAATGATGCTGAGCATCTTTTCATGTATTTATTAATTAAAAACTTTGCATATCTTCTTCTGTGCAGGGTCTACTTGGATCTTTTCTCCATTTTAGTTTTTGCCTTGTTAATCTTGAGTTTTAAGAGCACTTTTAATATTCAGATACAAGGCCTTTGTAGAT
Organism: Homo sapiens; assembly: GCF_000001405.40. Taxonomy (NCBI): domain Eukaryota; kingdom Metazoa; phylum Chordata; class Mammalia; order Primates; family Hominidae; genus Homo; species Homo sapiens. Next base: position 29,631,167 of record NC_000012.12, read on the forward strand.
TTATGTTTTACAAATATTTTCTCCCAATTTGTGGCTTGCCTCTTCATTTAATTCACATTATCTTTTGATGAAAAAAATATTTAATTTTGATGATGTCCAATTTATCAACTTTTTCTTTTACAGTTTTCACATTGTGTTCTAAGAAATATTTGCTTAAGTCAAATTCACAAAGATTTTCTCCTTTTCTTTTAGAAATTTTGGTGTAATTTGCTTTTATTTTTAGGACTATGATCCACTTGGAATTAATTTCTGTATACTGTATAAGGTAAGGGTTAAGATTCATATTTTTTCCTTACAGATATTCAGTTACATTTTTAAAAGACCATCCTTTCTCCATTGAATTACTTTGACAACTATGTCAAAAAACAGTTGATCCCATTAGTGTGGATTTAGCCCTGAATTCTCAATTCTATTCCATTTCCTATTGACACTTTTTAAAAAACTGAGTTTGATCACACACTCCTGTTTCTTCGTATATCTAGTAATCGTTGGTTAAACTGGGTGTTGCATGCCACACATTGTAGGGACCCTGGATTCTATTTTGTTCTTCTGAAATTGTTGATTTTCCTGTTTGAATACATTTGATGAGTTTCCATAGACTCAAACTGGAAAATCTGTTTCTCTGCAGAATGCTGAAATTATTACTCAGTTCTTTTTTCTTTTGCCTGGATTTCTGGGGATTTCTCTTGTGCCAACATGGCTTTGTGATCAGCCAATGATTTGGGCAGAGGTTATACATGGATAACTCAAGCCAGTGAATTTTCCAATCTCTGCTGCTCAACTCGTGCACGCATTGAAGAATGGATTCAAACTTGCAGCAAGTAAGTCTCCCAGGGCTTTTAATTTTGCTTGTGCATATGTCATTTAACAGCCACGAATGCATGGAGAGTATATTACCTCTGCCCTTTCATATTTCTCTTGCTTCCAAAACTTTCCCCTTAAATTTTTGCTGCTCTGTTTCTTTCCCAAACCAAATTTTTCCAAAATTGTAAAACTTTCCAAAGTTTACCAGCCAATTCCAACCAGTAAACTTATTAATTTTTACTGCTAGATCTGACAGGATGGAAAGACCTTCAGGTAAAAGCATCTTATCCAATGCAGTAGCAGTTTTTCATAAGCAAACATTTTCAAGTTCTTTGCTGAAATGATTTGTCTGTGTCACTACCCAAATCTCATCTTGAATGGTAGTTCCCATAATCCCCATGTGTTGTGGGGATCAGGTGGAGATAGTTAAATCATGGGGGCAGTTTCCCCCATTCTGCTCCTGTGATAGCGAGTTAGTTCTCACTAGATATAATGGTTTTATAAGGGGCTTTCCCCTTCCCCTTCACTGGGCACTCATTATTCTCTTTCCTGCCACCTTGTGAAGAAGGACATGTTTGCTTCCCCTTCTGCCCTGATTGTAAGTTTCCTAAGGCCTCCCCAGCCCTGCATACCTGTGAGCTAACTAAACCTCTTTCATTTATAAATTATCCAGTCTCAGGTATGTCCTTATAGCAGTATGATAATGAACTAGTACATTTGCCTTTGGTCTTTGGTCATTTTTGAAATAGCTGTTTTTAGTAATTTTGTACAGTTTTATACTTTTTGGGGAAGTAGTGGGAGAAATCATCCAACTACCCCTGGCAGTCACTCATGAAAGTAGAGTCTTAACCATATTTTAAGCATTTATAAATAGGTTATTTACCACAATTTCATTTATCATTATATTAAGTCAAATAAATTACTTTGAAAATCAGCCAACCACAGTAGTAACCTCTCATTTACAAACATTAAGCTTCAGTTTCAATACAGGGTTAGTAGAAACAGTCAAAAAATCTATAAGGTGGCCATGGTATGTTATTACCCGCTACAAAAAATTTACATAGACAAGGAGAGGAGATTCAATTTACACCCAGACCATCCGCACTAAAAAGAACATTATAGGCATAGAATATCTGTCTTCAAATGCAGAGTTCATTCTACTTTTGAGAAAATTACCTTAAAGGCTGCTAAGCAGTGCAGGCTCAATAAGGCCATCACAACCGCCAGAAAGATGGTGGCTAAGTTCCGCATGTCCCATATGGTCTCTACCAGAGGAATACTGCCGACCTGCCAGTCATAGCACAGGGTCACGGGTGCAAGCAGAAGCCACACATTGAAGGCCAAGAGGTAGGAATAGGTGAGGAATCTATAAAGAGAAGAAGAATCACTGAAACACTGCTCAAGAACCATGACATTCTGTAAGCGTTCAGTCACCATATTTTTATTAAATAGCATTTCTACCCAGTCAATGTTATCTTGGAGGAGAAGACAAGGGAAGATGGAAAGCCATTCACTCATTTATTCATTAAATTGATAGATTTGGGATATATCTAATAGGTTCTAGCCACTCTGAGGTGCTGACCTTTTAATGGTGAACAAATACAGATACAGTTTCCATGACATATATTTTAAAATTATCATACAAATAAACATATTACAACTGGAAATGAATGCTAGGAAGGAAAAGAGACATTTGAACTGTCCCTTCTTAACAGTGCCCAGAATTCTGCAGTAGATTTGAAAATATTTCATCATTTTTATATTACACTGATCTATATTGAGTTATTTCAAAAAATCAAAATATTTGTGGTATGGAGATAATATGTGGTAGGAGGGAAACTGCAGGTGTCCTTGCTGACAAGGACAGCCAGGTAGACACAGGGACAATGGATGGAGGAGGTGTTATGCCTGTTTCCTGGCTGCCACTAGGCACTAAGGTAAAGTGGAAGGCATTCTAGTTGTTCCCCTCACTTTGGGGGTAGAGAAAATGGAATTTATTTAAATTCATTCAGTCAACACACTTATTAAGCAGTGTTCTAGACCCTTGAGAACTGCACATAACAACTTTGTCCAAATCTCTGCATTAGGAGACAATCAAACTCTAGCATAGCCTCAGCATAAGGCTGTGTCCCTGGGATGACCCCAGCCCCTCATTAAAATGCTTACCTGAGAAATGCTGTCAGGAGAATTTATTATTTGCTCTAGTCAACACGTTACAACATGCCCCCAACCTCCTTTTTTTTTAAACAGCATTTACAAAAATGTGCTTATGACTGTGAATACTTAATTCTTACAACACAGAAGCATCTCCCTCAAGGACCCGAGAGCCATTCCTATGGAATGTAATCATCAGGAAGGACAGAGCCTCTGCCTCCCAATCTCTGGAAGCACAGAACTTTAACTTTGAGAACTGTCAGCCAGTGGGCACAGTCGGCCTAATTGCATCTACAGGGACCAATGCTCTGTAAGTCTTCACCTCTCTGACACTACTGAAAACCCCCACTCCACCCACTCCCTCACCCTCCCTTTGAAAGGCCCAGTCACCTCTGCACAAATCAGAATGAAGCTCTGCTCCTTCCCCTACTGTCAGTAGTGATGGAGTGAAATCGGTGTTCACTGCTTCAGCTCATATCTGATTGTGTTTGTCAACTTATTTGGGATCAAACAGAAGAATTAGATGAATTCATTGTCCTCAAGGAATGTATAATCCAATAGTGAAAATAGGACATACTGAATTAAAAAGGCAGAAGGAAACAGATGAACACCATAAGAGCACAGACTGTGAAGAAAGTTTCTCCCTCATTTGTCAGGTTCTTTTAGAGGGAATCTTGGATTGGCAAAGACATTAGATGAGATAATTTCCAAGTTACTTTCCAGTGTGAAGCGTCAGTTCACCCTGAATTCCTGTCAACAAATAGCTACTGGTTTAGAACACCTTCTCAGTTCTCTCCTCCCCTCCTCTGTTACTCTTTGAAGGTCAGTGGTAGAAAGGAAAATCATCCACAGCCATCAGGCTGCAGGGCAGGAGGGAGATTATTTACCGCTCAGACTCTCAAACCCCAACAAAGACATGGGTTGAAAGAGGCATGGCTATTTAAATGATGTTCAACTCTTTCCCCTCTGTTGTAATTTTTAACTAAAAGGTAATATACAAATAGAGTAGTATATACTGAAAGTTTGATAAAGTCCAGGCTTTGTTATTTAACAACAACAAAAAATGCCAAAAAAAAAAAAATGCCGTTTATCTTTCAGGCTTGGGCCTGCGACATTGTCACCTGAGAATGCCATCTCCACAGGAAAGTGATTGGATCATTTTGGGCTCCTTTTTTCACAGACCTTTCAGGCTGATGCCATCTACCTTTCAGCCCACTAAAGGTTCTCTATGACTTAGCTTTTCAGGTAAGTGGTGAACCATCAAACTTAGAAGAAAAAATTGGGTAGCTCTGTCTCTCAGTCACATCCCAGCTCTTAAAAATGACTTTAAAACTATTATTGCCTTTTTGAGGAAATAATGGATCTAGGCATGATCATCAATGACTGCTTAAATTATCAGGTGAAAAGCCGATGAGGTCCTTTATTTATAATAGTTAGGTCAGGCTAATTCAGGTGCCTAGAACTGACTAATCAACTTTAACATCACTGAAAGGGAAATAAACAGTCTGATGTCCTCCTGATGGAAATAAACACCATGCCTATGAGGTCAAAAGAAAAAACAAAATCAAACCTGAACTAATCAAGTCCTAAATCTAATTATCAGTTTATAGCAAACACAGGAAACAACAGAACATGCCACATCACACCACAGGGATGCAGTGTGCAAAATCCAGACTGTGGGAAACAAAGGGCCCAGATTCTTAAACAAGTACGTTGTAATTATGGGAAGAGAAGGAGGGAGAGGGCATTTGCAAATTAAAAGAAACTTCAGAGACATATCAAGCAAAGCACAGATTTTGTTTGGATGCTAATTCAAAGAAACCACTATTAAAAATAACCACTTAGGACACCGTCAGAATAAACTGAAATACTGATTGGAAAGAGGCAGAATTGGCTAGAGACAATCACTGTTAAAGTGTGATAATAGTATTGTGGTAATTTTTTTAAGAGTGCTCGTCTTTTAGAAATACATACTAACATACACACATATGAAATAAGATGATGTCTGGGATTTGCTTTAAAATAATTGACGAAGAGGAAGGGAAAGAAAGTAGGTGGGATATGGATGAAACAAGATGGCCTGGAGTTATTATTGAAACTGGAAGATGGCATGCATGTGGGGTTCTTTATGCCACTTTCTCTACTTTTTAACTAGGGAAAAAAGGCAATAGAATTGCAATAGTAACACTTTCTTATCTTATTTCCACCTACGGCTTGACTATGGAACATCTGGAACTGCTATGCAGAATGTATTATTTAATTTTGAGTTTACGTTTTGGCCTTGCTCTGCAAGTTGACCTCAGTTCTTTATGTCTTCTAGATGTGCAATACTGTATTGACAAAAAACAAATATAACAAAAATTTTTTAAAGTTACAATCTCAACATAGTTATTTACATGTTACCAAAAGAAAAATGCTTTCACGGTGGCTCATGCCTGTAATCCCAGCACTTTGGGAGGCCGAGGCGGGCGGATCACAAGGTCAAGAGATCGAGACCATCCTGTCCAACATGGTGAAACCCTGTCTCTACTAAAAATACAAAAATTAGCCGGGTGTGGTGGTGCGTGCCTGTATTCCCAGCTATTTGGGAGGCTGAGGCAGGGGAATCTCTTGAACCTGGGAGGTGGAGGTTGCAGTAAGCTGGGCATGGTACCTCATGCCTGTAATCTGAGCACCTTGGGAGGCCTAGCTGAGAGGACTGCTTGAGCCCCAGAGTTTGAGATAAGCCTAGGCAACACAGCAAGACCTCATCTCTACAAAAAATTAAAAAAAAAAAAAAAACTTAGCTGGGTGTGGTGGCACACACCTGTAGTCCCAGCTAGTCCAGAGGCTGAGTTGAGAGGATGGATCACTTTAGCCAGGGAGGTCAAGGCTGGAGTGAGCAGTGATTGTGCCACTGCACTGCAGCCTAGAGCAATAGAGCAAGATCCTGTTTCAAAATGAAACGAAACAAAATGAGAAACACACACACACACACACACACACACACACACACACACAAAAGAACAACAGTAACAACAAAAACAAAGAAGCCATTTGGAATCACTTCAAAAGCTAATTACACTGGAGATAGGGGGTGGAGGGGATAGTTCAGCTAGCTGTCCAACAGCTACAGTATTTCTTTTTAATTCTTTCACTATGAATTACATTGAAGCAAATCATCCTGTTTATTTCTGCTATAATTTCAGAAGCAAAATAATCTGTCAAATATCTCTGCCCCGCTGTGTTATCTTTTTTAAAGCAAGTGCAAAACCAAAATGAATTATTTACCAATTTTCTACCACAAATTCTGTGAACAGAAGGAAAGTCACAAGAATATCTTGCCAACAAAATGGAATATATGGCACAGAAAGCCAGGAATTCAGCTTAAACAATTTAGTCATGCATTTTCATTGATAAGCCAGAAAAGAGTAAAGAGGTTTCATGGCCGAAAAACATGAAAGGGAAAGGCAAGCTGGAGCTGAGGCTGTGGGGAAAATGGCATTCATCAAATGGCACCTAACAAAACTGTGTGGCTCTTCACATCTAAATTTTCATTTTTATCGAGAAAAAAATCAAAGTGTTTTAAGTGCAAGAATATACATAAATTCTGTTCTCTGCCTCAGCAAAAACCTATCTGGCTAAGAAATGACATGAGCCTAACATATTTCTTTGCCCTAGAAAGATGTCTATGATAGGTACATATGAAAAAATCAGGTACTGCAAGCAGAAATATATAGTTCTTGCTTGCTTTACATAAAAAAGTTATTGCTCATAGGATCTTTCTTTTACTTTTGCCTACAAAATCTTTTATCATTTTATAAATACAGGACATTGGGTCCACTGTACACACTCACCTCCTCTTAGGAAGGCCATTTGCCACCTGTCAATATGCCACTGGTGAGGAGCACCCCACCCGGCCCAGACTCTACTGATACCGCTGACATGGGAGGCGGGCAGGGAAGTGCTGGGTAGAGAAGGGCGGGGTCCCTGGCTAGGGCTCTACCCTCAGGCTTGGGCTCACGGACCTAAGTGAGAACAGGCACTCCTGTTTTCGTGCCCAAATGTTGCATTTTCCAAAACCCCTCTGGCCCACCATGACCCCCATCTTGTGCCCATAAAACCCTGAGACCCTAGCGGGCACAGATACAAGTGGCTGGACATCGAGAGGAGCAGAAGAGCTGAAGAGCACGCCGACAGACCCCAGCAGACACTGGCAGGACATTGATGGCTGAATGACATGGAATTCAGCTGAGGGTGATCGGCTGGACTCTAGGGAAAGACTACCTTCCCACTCCATCTCCCTTCTGGATCCCCATCCAACTCACTGAGAGCTACTTCTACCACTCAATAAAACCTTGCACCCATCCTCCAAGCCCACGTGTGATCTGATTTTTCTGGTACACTAGGGCAAGAACTCAGGATACAGAAAGCCCTCTGTCCTGGTGATAAGGCTGAGGGTCTAATTGAGCTGATTAACACAAGCCGCCTGCAGACGGCAAAGCTGAAAGAGCACACGGTAACACACACCCACTGGTGCTTCAGCAGCTGTAAACACTCAACCCTAGATGCTGCCAGGGGGTTGGAGCCAAAGACTCTCCCCATGACCGGCTGGTCTGCATGCTTCGGCTAAGGGTTTGAGCAGCAGGGCACCGAAGAATCGAGCCACTCCCCCATCACACACCCTGCCAGGGGGATAAGGGAACTCCTCCCGTTTCACCACTAGGTTTTGGTGATCTGTCCTGCTCCCTCCCAGGCTGCTGCCTGTTTTCATCCTCATAACTCCTGAATTACCATTGATGTTTCAAAGGGTCTCCACCTCACTGGGCCCCAGCCATGACAGGCCTACACAGGCATTACCTGGTAATTACTGTCTTTAGCATCTTCTTCCCCTGCCCATAACCTTCTCCAGAACTATCCAAAGAAAGCTACTTCCTGCACTACCCTCCTCAATACACAGGGAAACTTCACTTGAATTCATTAAACATTGAATAATTATCCCGTACGCCTTCCTAGGTGCTAAAGGGTAGTATGATCTAGCCTCTGCCTTCCACAACAGCATTTTCGCTGCATTGCTGGTGAGAACACACACACATTACATAGTTGAGAACAGTGTAATATTAATATCAAACTTCAATGGAGTTCTAAGAAATGATAGATTAATGAGAAATGGAAGATGAAGGGAAGACATCCTAGAATCTCCACAGAATTTAAGTAGGTGGAGAGATGGGAGATAGTCCAGGCAGGGCCACCCAAGAGTAATAGCTTCAAATTGTAAATAAACATGACATTTTTAAAGAACAGTTATGAGTACAGGATTAGACATGTATAATATAAAAATGATAAAAATTACTACCAGTAGAAAGTCTAAAATAAAATATCATGTCAAATGTCAGTGAGGATGAGCAATTAGAACTTTGAAATCCTACTATAAATTGATTAAACCACTTTGCAGAACTGTAGGCAGTTTCATGAAAGCAAAATAAATGCATATTTCATGAACTAGCAATTCCACTCCTAAGCAATTCCACCCAACAGCATTGGACACAAGTGTTTACCAAAAGACATTTAGAAGATTGTTCATAGCAGGACTTTTCTTAATAGCGCCAAACTGGAGACAACTCACATATCCATCTACAATAAAATGCATACATACATTATGGAATATCCATGTGATGGAAATCAATTCAGCAATGAGAATGAATGCAACAACATGGAGGAACCTCACAATGGTAATGTGGAACAAGCACAGAAGACACAAAAGAAAAGGAAATCAAGAAAAACCATCTATAGACAACGATATATGACTGGAAGCAGGACCTGAGCTCCAGGAAACAAGGCTGGTACTAGAAAGCCACAGGCAATCCCCCAGTGGAATGGATCATGTAAAAGCCAGCAAAGTAGAAGGTGCTAGATAAGTGCTATGCCCCCATGGGGCATTCCGGGGCCGAGACCCATCAGTAGTCCTGAACACTTGCTGCTTCAGCACCTGGGACCCATAGAGATAGTGAGACTATTTCCAAACACCCGATGAAAGAAGAAAAGAGAGCCAAGCAACTCCGACAAGCTTCTCATTGTGTTCTGTTAAAGTTCCTCTGGCTTACAAGGATGAATGGTCCAATTAACCGAGCTCAATTAAAGGCGGAGACTATTTTTAAAATTCCCAGAAGAGACGTATGGTGAGATCACGGCAGACAGGAGGCAGGAACAGATGCAGCTGTGGACAGAGCAGCGAGGGGGGGCTCACATTGTGAATTTTAGCTCCAGATTGATTGCAAGAACAAATCAGCAATCCCAAGAGGACCCACAGACCCTCTTAAGGACCCAGGAGACCCCCCACAAAACTGTGAATGCCCCAACAGTGGAAGTGGGAAAGGGAGACCCTCCTCTCCCAAACACGTCCCCCACAACTGGAGAAGCTGAAGGTCTGTTTGTGGGAGAAGTTTCTGACTTTACCTGGAGCTGAGTCAATTTGGAGAGCCAAGTGAAATACTGGGGTAGAGGAAGCAGCAGAAAGGCCCTGGGAGCTCGCGGGCTCCCCTGGCAGGCCGTTCCTGCCTGGAACCACAGGGATCCAATGGGAGAGAAGCAGGGGATAAAACTACACAGAGAGAAGGAAATCTCTAGCTGAACTTTGTAACAGTTTGAACGGGGTGAGAAGCCTCCTGGCCAGAACTCGGGGGAGGGTGCAAATCTGATGTGCAGACTCCACAGGCTAGGGAAGAACCAAGCCCTTTTCTTATGCAGCTGGGAGGCAGACAGCCTCATATCGCTTACGGTCTGGGGGTTGTTGAGGGGGGCATGGTGGGAGTGAGACCAGCCCTTCGGTTTGTGTGGGAGCTGGGTGAGGCCTGTGACTGCCGGCTTTCCCCGGCTTCCCTGACAACCTGCATGACTCAGCAGAGGCAGCCGTAATCCTCCTACATACACAATTCCAGTGACCTAGGAATCTCACTCCCAGCCCCCACAGCAGCCACAGCAAGACCCGCCCAAGGAGGGTCTGAGCTCAGATATGCCCAGCCCTACCCCCACCTGATGGTCCTTCCCTACCCATCCTGGTAGCAAAAGACAAAGGGCATATACTCTTGGGAGTTCTAGGGCCCTGCCCACCATCGGTCCCTCCCTATACTAGCACAGATGAAGCTCTCTGGAAAGCACCACCTCCTGGTAGGAGGCCAACCAGCACAAAAATAGAGCATTAAACCACCAAAGCTAAGAACCCTCATGGAGTCCATTGCACACCCCAGCCACCTCCACTGGAACAGACACTAGTATCCATGGCTGAGAGACCCATAGACGGTTCATATCACAGGACTCTGTAGACAACCCCTGGTACTAGCCCAGAGCCCAGTAGATTCAATGGGTGGCTAGATCCAGAAGAGAGACAATAATCACTGCAGTTTGGCTCACAGGAAGCCACATCCATAGGAAATGGGGGAGAGTACTTCATCAAGGGAACACACCGTGGGACAAAAGAATCTGAACAACAGCCTTCAGCCCTAGACCTTCCCTCTGACAGCACCTACCCAAATGAGAAGGAACCAGAAAACCGACCCTGATAATATGACAAAACAAGGCTCTTCAATACCCCCCCAAAAAAATCACACTAGTTCACCAGCAATGGATCCAAACCAAGAAGAAATCCCTGATTTACCTGGAGAAGAATTCAGGAGGTTAGTTATTAAACTAATCAGGGAGGGACCAGAGAAAGGCAAAGCCCAATGCAAGGAAATCCAAAATATGATACAAGAAGTGAAGGGAGAAATATTCAAGGAAATAGCTTAAGAAAAAGCAATCAAAACTTCAGGAAACTTTGGATACATGTTTAGAAATGTGAAATGCCTTGGAAGTTCTCAGCAATATAATTGAACAAGTAGAAGAAGAAATTCAGAGCTCAAAGACAAGGTCTTCGAATTAATCCAATCCAACAAAGACAAAGAAAAAAGAATAAGAAAATATGAACAAAGCCTCCAAGAAGTCTAGGATTATGTTAAATGACCAAACCTAAGAATAATCAGTGTTCCTGAGGAAGAAGAGGATTCTAAAAGCTTGGAAAACATATTTGGGGGAATAATCGAGGAAAACTTGCCTGTCCTTGCTAGAGATCTAGACATCCAAACACAAGAAGCACAAAGAACACCGGGAAATTCATCACAAAAAGATCTTTGCCTAGGCACGTTGTCATCAGGTTATCCAAAGTTAAGGCGAAGAAAAGAATCTTAGGAGCTGTGAGACACAGAAGCACCAGGTAACCTTTAAGGAAAAACCTATCAAATTAATAGCAGATTTCTCAGCAGAAACCCTACAAGCTAGAAGGGATTGGGGCCTTATCTTCAGCCTCCTCAAACAAAACAATTATCAGTGAAGAATATTGTATCCAGCAAAACTAAGTATCATATATGAAGAAAAAAAAGTCTTTTTCAGACAAACAAATGCTGAGAGAATTCACAATTACCAAGCCATCACTACAAGAACTGCTAAAAGCGGCTCTAAATCTTGAAACAAATCCTCAAACAAATCAGTAAGAAAAATAAAAAATAGGCCAGGCGCAGTGGCTCACGCCTGTAATCCCAGCACTTTGGGAGGCCGAGGTGGGTGGATCATGAGGTCAGGAGATCAAGACCATTCTGGCTAACATGGTGAAACCCCGTCTCCACTAAAAATATGAAAAATTAGCCGGGCGTGGTGGCGGGCGCCTGTGGTCCCAGCTATTCAGGAGGCTGAGGCAGGAGAATGGCGTGAACCCAGGAGGCGGAGCTTACAGTGAGCCGAGATCGCGCCACTGCACTCCAGCCTGGGTGACAGAGCGAGACTCCATCTCAAAAAAAAAAACTCCCAAACAAACAAACAAACAAAAAAACCCATCAAAAAGTGGGTTAAGGACATGAATAGATAATTCTCAAAAGAAGATATACAAATGGCCAACAAACGTGAAAAAATGCTCAACATCACTAATGATCGGGGAAATGCAAATCAAAACCACAATGTGATACCGCCTTACTCCTGGGAGAATGGCCATAATCAAAAAAATCAAAAACAGTATATGTTGGCATGGATGTGGTGAACAGGGAACACTTCTACACTGCTGGTAGGAATGTAAACTAGTACAGCCACTATGGAAAACAATGTGGAGATTCCTTAAAGAACTAAAAGTAGATCTACCATTTGATGCAGCAATCCCACACTGGGTATCTACCCAGAACATAAGAAGTTATTATTCGAAAAAGATACTTGCACATGCATGTTTATAGCAGCACAATTCACAATAGCACAATGCTATGGTGAACCAACCCAAATACCCATCAATCAACGAGTGGATAAACTGTGATATATATATATATATCACATATATATGATGGAATATATATATGATGGAATATAAAAAATATTATATATTATATATTTTATATATAATATAATATAAAATATATAATATATATCACATATATGTTATATATTATAATATATAATATATGTCATATATAAATATATATTATATATTATATATAATATATATCTATATATTATATATATAATATATATGTTATATTATATAATATATAATATATATCTATATATTATATATATTATATATATTATATATTATATATATAATATATAAATATATATTATAATAAATATATATAAATATTTATAATACACATATATTTATATATTTATATATATTTATATACATATTTATATATTTATATATATTTATATATTTATATATATTTATATATTTATATATATTTATATATATTTTTATATATAAATTTAAATATATATAAATAAATATAAAATTATATATAAATATATATAAATAAATATATATAAATTTAAATATATATTTATATATACTTACATATAAATATATATAAATATATAATTTATATATAAATATAAATATATAATTTATATATAAATATAAATATATAATTTATATATAAATATAAATATATAATTTATAGATAAATATAAATATAAATATAAATATATAAATATATATGTGTGTGTGTGTGTGTGTGTGTGTGTGTGTGTGTGTGTATATATATATATAATGAAATACTAAACAGCCATAAAAAGGAATGAATTTATGGCATTTGCAGTGACCTGGATGGGACTAGAGACTATTATTCTAAGTGAAGTAACTCGGGAATGGAAAACCAAACATCGTATGTTCTCACCGATATGCGGGAGCTAAGCTGTGAGGATACAAAGGCATAAAAATGACACAACAGACTTTGGGGACTTGGGGGGAAGAGTGTGAGAGGGGCGAGGGATAAAAGACTACAAATATGGTGCAGTGTATACTGCTTGGATAATGGGTGCACCAAAATCTCACAAATCACCACTAAGGAACTTGCTCACATAACCAAATACCACCTGTACCACCAATAACCTATGGAAAATTAAAAAAACAAAATTCCCAGAATAATTCAAAGACAGAAAACTCAGAATAGAACTAAGATTCTTAGGGAAACAAAACTAAGCAGCTGCAAGAAAGAAAGGCAGCACCCTTCCATGAAGGCTACATGCCTTCCTCCTGGCTGCCCTGCTTCTCTTAGCATTTGCTCCACCTCCACCCTCTGCTCAGGGGCTTCTTGTGCTTGTTCATAATGGAGGCTGAGTGTAGTTAGCAGTTCTGTCCCCAGCCTCTCCTTTTCTATCATCTTCACACCACTTGCCTCACCCTCAAGTTTTACATTTCTGACCGCAGCACCTGACTAGCTCACCTCATCTTCTGGAATCAACTCTCACAGGTCCTTGAACTCCAACTCCTCTGGATCCTTCAGGTCCCAAAGCAGACACCACTCATTGTGACAAGCCTTCCATATCATCCCTCCCCAGGCCAGGTGGGTGTCCCATTGCACTGGGGCTTGGCACACTGCCCTGTAACTGTCCATGAATGTGCCCATCCTCCTCACTAAAACAGAAGCTCCTCAGGAGCAGTGACTATGTCTGTCTATAATTATTTCCCTAGCACTCAGGTCTTAAAATAAATGGATTCTATGGGTTTTAAGAAATCAGCCTGATAATAAAATAATGCCTTAGAATCTGGAAATACTTGAATTTATACTTTCATTTCGGCCTGGGGCAACCATATACTTTTCTACAACCCAATAAAAGATATCTGCTAGACTTGCAGTTGTCCAGGCATATAGTTGAGGGGCAAAGATGGAAGATTCTGCCTTTTTGTAGCCCTCTTCAGCACCCAGTGCTACAGGCATTCCCTTCACTCAGAAACATCCTCCTGAAGCTATGCCAGCTTATTTTTTCTTATTTTGCATTAAACTACAATGAACATAGTTAAAATGAGAATTTTTGTTACCATGGATAAAGTATAAAGTGAATCTGAAATGTCATTGTCTTTCTGACCTTTTACATGTGCCATTAATATAGTAATCTTATTAATAGAGAGCTTCATCAGAGCAGGGAAAATGGAGTTCAACGTCTGAGAATGTTAGCAACTTCTTACCCATATATCTGCAAAAAAGGAAATACAGTTTCTGCAAAATAAATACTGGGTTCATTTTTTTGCCTAAGGTATCTTTCTCGCTATAAAGGATTTAACATGTTTATTTCAAACCAATATACTTTCTCTCATTGAGCACAGGTTCAACATTCATTGAGGAGGCATGAACTGACTGCTGACCACGCATCAGGCTCAGGTCTCCAGGTCTCTATACAAGAATCCTGTTGGTCTATTAATGAACCGCATACAATATTAAAAATACTACTAGCATGTAGAACATTCGCTAGTTTACAAAGCATTTGTGTATACGGATTATTTGACAGCAAATCCTCTATGAAGTGGGCATTACGCTCATTCTTGCATCAAAGAAAATTGCCTAAAAGAGGCTGTAATTCATTCAATTCCCACTGCAAGCATATAGCAGAGTTTGCACACATATGACAGAGTTTTCTGGCTCCAAATACACTTGTCCATGGCATCATATGGTCTCCCATTAGCATTTCTTTATCAATGTGGAGAGGTGAAAGGAAATAAGGTGGGTGAAATGCTGGTGTCTCATGGAGAAGCACCCGCCTGAGACCCTGACTCACTCCTTCATCAGTGCAGCCCAGAAGAACTGGAGCTTTCATGTAGTCCTAGCAGGGTTGACATAAACTAAAAATCCATATATAATCTCCTCTAACGACACATCAAACTGATTGCACTGCTGAAAATGTTTGTTAGAGCATCAAGAAGTAGAATCCTTAAATAAAAGCTCAGGCTTGGCATTTTTTTCAGTGTGAAAAGCAATATTGGCCTTTATGTTTCAATGTTAGCAGAAAATAAAAGAAGTGTTCCTTTAACTTTCATCAGCTTCTCTGGGATTTAAGATTGTAATGGAAATACAATATGTAGATTTAAAGGATGAGATAGTTTTCTTCAACAAATAAAATATCAGTAAGTGATCCAGATCTGCATTTTTCAGCAACCCATCCCTAGTCCCCAGGTAAAATTGCTACTGCCACAAGCTCTCTCATGTGACTCCCTCTTCTCTCCCTTTTCTTGTGACAAATTAAATAAATTATGACGACGTAGTTTCGTTCTGGTTTGGAAAACTACGCTCATTGACCTTGATAATCTCTTTCATCCCCAAAAAGCTATTTTTCTATGAATATATTATAATACAAAGACATAACAGGGGCAGCATCCCCGGCAGAGAACTCTTCAGCTACCGGGGACACAGTTTTTGCCCAGGGTTCTCAAAACAGGTGGCTCCCCAATTCATTAGGCTGCTGTTTGATACAAAGATTCTGTCATCCAATCTTGTGACTTACCCAATCAGAATTTCTGTCAGATGAATCAGAGAATCTTTATATTAAACATGTTTCCTTGATTGATTCTCACATTCACTCAGGTCTGGTAATCACACCTCTAAAATACAGAACAGCTTCAGCTTCGTTTCGAAAAAACATGTTTCTTTTTGAGACAGAATGTCACTCTGTCACCCAGGCTGGAGTACAGTGGCGCAATCTCGGCTCACTGCAACATCTGCCTCCCGGGTTCAAGCAATTCTGCCTCAGCCTCCCGAGTAGCTGGGACTACAGGTGCATATCACCAGGCCTAGCTAATTTTTGTATTTTTAGTAGAGACAGAGATTCACCATATTGGTCATGCTGGTCTCAAACTCCTGACCTCAGGCAATCCACCTGCTTCAGCCTCCCAAAGTGCTAGGATTACAGGCATGAGCCACTATGCCCTGCCCCAAAAAACATGTTTTAAGAGCCCCTATAAACATGTTTCGAAGGCTTTGTTAGTTGCTCAGTCAAGAACAGAGCAGTTCATTTTGCACAGCTCTCTTTAAACACACAATATATTATTTTACAAAAGAAACATTTTAATTCAATGTTCGGAGGTTATTATGAGATAGCCCCATGTTAGGGGCTATAACGGATGCAACATAGAGTCCTAGGCTGTAACAATGAAGATCTAAGGTTTTGTGTCTCTTTAAAACCATCAACCGAAATGGAAAGATGAGAAAGAAGCTTCTTTAGAACGTGGAAGATGTTGCGTTCTAGTTTCATCTTGCTATTTCCTATCTTGATCTTTTCCTACAAAGTAATACAAGCCTTTGCCTGTATTTCTTAACAGCAGAAACAGACCTACCACTCAAGCAAATCTATTCTAGTTGTTTATCCAGGACCAAATCTCATGAAAAAATATGATGCTAAGAGAGAGCCTTCATATCCTTTCACTGAAAATCCTATGTTATCTCCTTTCTGGATTTGAAAGACAACCAATTTGAATGTGATAAAGGCAATACTTCTTCCATCAAGTGTAGGCTGCTTTATGTCCTATCCCCTTCAAACTGGTAAGACAAAACCAATTTCTAGGCAGCAGAGCATGGCTATGGTCGTGGAAATGACATTTAAGGCTCCAGTCCTATGCAGAAGCCATACTTGGGCTTTTGTTTTTATCCTTAATCCCAGATTTACAAGAGTGGAGGTCAAAGGATCACATTTCTGAAGATACTTACAGAAACAGAAGAGCAAATCTGGAAGCAAATGACACTTTTCTGACAGGACAGGTTACACATAAAATCTATTCCATCACTTTTCAAATGCAAGTCCATAAAAAACATGGAAGCAGAAACTCTGGGCATCTGGACTTCAGAACTCATACTTTAACATGATTCCCTAGTGTTTTTGAGGCACATTCAGGTTTGACAACCTAGCTGAGATAAATTCTTAAGGCCCCTCCATGGCTCTACTCACAGAACAACTTTGAGTGGGAATTTACAAGAAGTATCATAAGCACCTATGGTCTTGGGTCTTGAAGAATATTTTCTTTTCTTTTCTTTTCTTTTTTTCAGATGAGAATCAAATTCTAAATTGGCGCAATTCTAAGTCAGAGTGCAATAAAATCTTCCCACCACTCAGAATCAGCTGAGCAAAACACAACACAGCAGATTGGAAGAGGCCATTCAAACCAGAGGCAGACAGAGGCTGCAGAGAGTGCTGCATCTACGGCACACACCACTCATGTCTCACCAGCCACTCATCCTTCTAGCTCCTTCTGGCGTGGGGTCAAGCCAGGAGCACAGTGCTTGTTCTAGTCCAGTGCCATCCAATAGAAAGAGAATGAAAGCATATATAATTTTCAATTTTCTATTAGCTACATTAAAAAGAATAAAATGAAACATGATGAATTAGTTTCGGAAATATATTTTGTTTCAATGAATAT
This sequence comes from Homo sapiens, assembly GCF_000001405.40. Taxonomy (NCBI): domain Eukaryota; kingdom Metazoa; phylum Chordata; class Mammalia; order Primates; family Hominidae; genus Homo; species Homo sapiens. The sequence goes on from NC_000012.12 coordinate 29,648,799, forward strand.
ACCCAAAATATTATCATTTCAGTAGATAATCAATGTAAAAATTATGAATGGGATTTTTTACATTTTTTTCTTACTAAGTCTTCTAAATGCGGTGTGCCTTTACACTTCCAGCACATGGCCATTGGAACTAGCATTTGATGTGCTAAGTAGCCATATGGGGCCCGCAGCTCCTCTGGTGGACTGCAAGGATCTGGACAATCACCTGTCTTCAGGCCCATCCATCCTCCACCTCTGCCCACATTCACTTGTCCTTGGTTTTATCTTTTTCATTCTAGATTCCCACTCCAACCCCACCACTCTCCCCTTGGCTGCAGCCCCCCTCCACTCTCAAAATTCCCAACTACTATCCTGACTTGTTATTGTTGTCCATCAGTTTTACTGTGTGGCCTCTATGTCTACTCACCCTCTTTTACCTCTTGTGAAAACTTCTGACTCTTGTTCCTATAGAAATTCCACGTGGGATAGGACAGATGGAGGGATTTAGATCTATGAGGGCAAAATTTTCTTAGTTGTTAAAAAATGAGCAATTTAATAAAATCTAAATTTAGAGCAACTACAAAGAAGATAATAGAGCATTCTTTGTGACTAACATAAATACAGTCATTCAGATTTCAAGCTATGAGAAACTAAAGGAGAGAGGAGGTAAGTAAGAGAGCCAAGCTGACAAAACAGGACTGCGGACAGGTGGGTCCAGGAAGAGAGGGTTCCTGTAGTCACCCCTGGCTTACGCCCTCACCACCCTTCTAGAGAAGAAAATGGAAATTAATATCAGAATCACACTGTGTTGTATTTTTATTTTGTCATATATGTAATTGTGCAAGTTAACCAGATATTTCACAGTATAAATTCCATCATTCCCAAGGAAACATTTTGCTGTTTTTATAAAGTTACAAGTAGACAGACCCTTGCAGATGGTTTTGAAGACAGAAAATTGGACAAGGCATGGGGAATGAGGTGGGACAGTGTGCAATTAATAATTACAGTCAACTTTCTGGTGCCCAGAGTGGAATATCAGGTGTGTTACAACCTTCTCAGAAGGGTGGCTTGACAAGGCTTAACGTTTTCTAAGGATGCTAACTATAACCAAGGTCACCAGTTATTTATTCAACAATGTTCTAAGGATTTATTTTTGTATCAGGCTCTGAGCCAAAGCCTAGTAAGATCATAAGATAATTTTAAGGGCCATCAGGTAGTTGTTATCCATAGGGCTATAAACAAAACTATTCAGTACCTCAATCTGCATTTAGAGCATCTTCTTACTTAACTTTCTCTTTTTTTCTTTTCTTTTCTTTTTTTTTTTTTCTTTGAGGAGTCTCGGTCTGTTGCCCAGGCTGAAGTGCAGTGGCACGATCTCAGCTCACTGCAACCTCTGCCTCCCAAGGTTCAAGCCATTCTCCTGCCTCAGCCTCCCGAGTAGCTGGGATTATAGACGTGCACCATGATGCCTGGCTAATGTTTGTATTTTTAGTAGAGATGGGGTTTCACCATGTTAGCCAGGCTGGTCTCAAACTCCTGACCTCAAGTGATCTGCCCGCCTAAGCCTCCCAAAGTGCCGGGATTACAGGTGTGAGCCACCTTGCCCAGCCCCTACCTAACTTTCTGATTTTGACTTCTGTGAACTGTCACCTCTCTTCCTGAGGTGAGACACCCGGGCCTCAGGTCATCCCAGCCACCTACCCTAGACCTACCCTCTCCAGGGGTTCTCACACTGCAAAATCAACAGGTTCCCTCTCTCAGTGGCAAAGTCAAAGCATTCATCCTTTCAGTGACCAGATCATGGTGAAATGTTAAGAAACAATGGTCTTATTCAGGAATTCACATGACGGTATAAATAACTAAGTGTACAGACTAGAAGCAGAAAGCAGTCAGTGTAAGTTTTCTAGCAGGGAAACCTTTCTAAAGAAGCAGCATGATCTGAGCTTTCACAAACAGGTGGGACGTAGACCTACTAACCGATGTTGTAGGTAAATGGAATGGATGGAGATCTGCAAGGGCCCAGGATTCCGAGGCGTTCAGTTCTGGTGGTTCATGAAACAGGCTTGAGGACTCTTGTTGATATGTGAATAGAGGGGGAGAAAAAGATATTATCTAAAAAGCTAGACCTGGAATTTCCCTCAGAAAGAAAACGATCTTCTTCAACATTTCTTGTTGTTGTTTCAAAAGAAAACACCACTGTAGGCTGTATCAGACACAAAACTATGTATTCATCCAGTGTGTTTGATTTTCTTCTGAGGCACACGGGGGGCTACGCTTTCCAGCCCCTTTGCATTTGGAGGGGGCACATGACTACTTCTGGCCTCCAGGTCTGAGCAGAGGTGATGTGGGTCCCTTGAGGCTGAAACACTTATAAGCTGCGTAGTGGAATGAATACTTCATGATATTAAAGAATGGTTGGAAATTTTTTTGTAGCTACCATGAGAATACTGTGGCTGTATATTTTAAAAGACAGCCATATCATTTAGAGATATAGTATGCTGAAATAATGATGACTGAACTGGCACTATAGTTGGGACTAGTTTCCAAACAGTTGGTGGTGGGTCAGGGAAAACAAGAGGGACTATTAGTGGGTGGGGCTATTGATGGAATAAGATTAAGCATAGTTGATAAATGCTGAAACTGAGTGATAGGGACAAACATGGAGTTCATTATACTGTTCTCTCCGCTTTTGTAATATGTATTTGTAAGTTTCAATATAAGAAGTTAGGGCCCCACTAACTTTCTCTCCCTCTGCTACACTGACTTAGCCATTCCAGATGGCAGGACTATAAAATGCAAGCAGCTCAGAACACAGAGTCACCAGCTGGAAGGCAGCATCCCTAGAAAGTTACTGGGCCCACAGCCCTCCTCCTGTGAACAAAAAATTAAACCTTTTCATGTTCAGTCATTTTAATTTCAGAGCTTGCTATTACCTTAGCATACCCTCATCTCACCTAGGTGAGGCATAGGTGTGTGAGATTTTAGAGATAATTTAGTCTTGGGTGGCCTATATAGTCTAGGGCTATGTAAGAAATTATTAGGAATTTGGACAAAGGAGGAACAGAAAATGAAGAACAAAAAAGGAGAGAGGTAGGGCTAAGCAAATAACTGAAGCAAAAAACTTGCCCAAAAAAAAAAAAAATTAGCCATTGAGAATTCCCCAGTGGAAGAGATGCTGGAAGATTTTGTGCAAGATGATTAATGTAAGTTACCTGTGGCATGGTTCTGTGATGTAACTCTGCTTTTTGTCTCCAGATTTCTGTAAAGTCCCTTGTACACAAATGCCTTTTATGAGTGGTACTATAGGGGATATGAATGTGAAAGGTCTATGCCCTCTGGTAACTTGGTTGGCACAAAAAAAGGAAAGAAGAGTGGCCATGGGCAGTGTAACAGGGACCAGATGTAGAGTTTAGCAGGAAAGGGAAAATGCAATGGGAGATGTCCCATGAGAATGTAAGGTTCTAGGGAAGCATATAAATCCTGAGGAGGGCAATGAACACTCAAGAACGTGGGAAAGAATTTAAGCCAGTTTTCTTTAAATCTCAAAGAGGAAGACCCAAGATGATATTGGGGTTCCATAACTGCATGCATTTCAAGCCTATCACTGCACTGTGTGGGTCATTCTCATGACAGAGCAGAGTTACCGCCTCTATACCAGGGTGCATAAAAGCACATGCAGTTGAAAATGTCTTAACGACAAAAAGCAAAACAAGGATATATCCAGAGGTGGTAGTGCAAAGTGGCCTTCAGAAACAAAAAGGCAAAGGTAGTGTAATGTTCATAGAAGCAGCAGGCCTATGACAGCAGAGTCAATCATGCATTCATCCATCAAACAGTAAACAATTATCATGGCTCTGTCCTGTGCTCAGCACTGTAAAACCTGCCAAAGATACAAAGAAAGATAAGATATGGTTTCTGCCCTTGAGAAATTCACATTTAAATGGGAAGGAAAAATTGGGGAATAGTCTATAACAATAAAGTGTAATGAGATGGAATAAATATCTTCGCTGGGCACAGTGGCTCACGCCTGAAATTCCAGCATTTTGGGAAGCCTAGAAGGGTGGATCACCTGAGGTCAGGAGTTCAACACCAGCCTGACCAACATGGTGAAACCCCGTTTCTACTAAAAATACAAAAATTAGCTGGGTGTGGTGGTATACGCCTGTAATCCCAGCTATTCAGGAGGCTGAGACAGGAGAATTGCTTGAACCCAGAAGACAGAGGTTGCAGTGAGCCAAAATCTTGCCACTGAACTCCAGTCTGGGTGACAGAGTGAAACTGTGAACTGTGTCTCATAAAAATATATATTATATATATTTTTTATTTATATATACTTATATATCTGGCAATGGCCAGATCCCTTACACTTCGTGGATCCTAACGGGTGTAGGAAACCACTGACCTTGTAAATATCAAGCCAGCTAGAAATATCATTTGAAAATGACATGGAGGACCTGAGGAGAGTAAACTGTGAGGACAGAGACAAATTAGGAAGCTATTTCAGGAACACAGGCCAGAAACCGTGAGGGCCTTCAGGAAGATGGTGGCAGTGGGGATGGAGATAGCTGCATGAATTCCGGCGAATAATAAGAGCAGTCACAGCACGAGGGGACTACTTGGATGAGAGGAATGAAAGAAAGGAAGCAGTCATCAGCAATCATGACTGACAGGTTGTGTGTCATGGACAACTAAATGGACAATTGGGCCTTGGGGAACTTGCTTATCAAAAGAAAGTTGTGTGATAAAGATACAATGTCTCCTTTGTTCTTTAGTTTCTAATTATATTGTTCTTCTCAAGTGGAAAGTAGAAGCATTTACTATTCAACTTCATGCCACTAAATGGATCTACACAATCTCAATGAATTACAGGTTGGAAAAGTTATTGGTCAGTCACAAAGAACTGACTGACAGCTAATACATCTGAATGTCTGGGTTAAAAAGGAAAGTTAAAAGATTAAGGGCCTTCTCACCAGTGTATCCTGAATAATGATGACCTCCAATTCCATCATTGGAATAATGATGATCCAACTCTGTAAGGAATCTACCTTACATCTTGATATACCCAATGGTCAAGAATAAAAGGTCAAATTCTAAATGGCTTCCAAATTGCTGTTAACATCAACTGTATCAAAGCACAATGTTTTAAATATTAAAAACATAATCTTCATACAAATACACAGCACAAACTAAAGTTTTGTATAACTCGTAAATGTGAGAAAAAGATACTTGACCAAGAGAGTTCAGAAAAGAATTTGAGTTAGGCAAAGCCTTCTTAGATATAGAAGATATGTATCTTAGAAACAACAAAAATAAATTGGACTTCATCAAAATAAAAAACTTACATGCTTCAAAGGACATCATCAAGTAAGTGAAATGACAATATACAGAAAGAAAGAAAATGTGTTTATAAATCATAAGTCAGATAAGGGACTTGTATCTAGAATATATTAAGAAAAATGTTACAACTTGGAAATAAAAAGACAAACAACCCAATTAAAAAGTGAACAAAGGATCTCCATCAACGTAGTTCCAAAGAAGACAGCAAAAGAGTCAGTACATACATAAGGAGATGTTCAACATCATTAGCCACCAGGGAAATATAGGTACATCAAAACCACAATAACATACCATTCCCTACCCATTGGTATGGCTATAATAAAACACACTGTCAAAAAGACAAATGTTGGTGAAAATAGAGAGAATGTGGAATCCTCACATACTGCTGGTAGGAATGTAAAATGGTGCAGTTGCTTTGGTAAATATTCTGGCAGTTCCTCAAAAAGTAAAACATAAAGTTAACATTTATAATCCAGCAATTCCACTCCTAGGTACATACTCAAGAGAAATGAAAACATACATCTACACAAAAACTTGTATGTGAATGTTCATAGCACCATTATTCGTAATAGCCAAAAAGAGGAAACAACCCAAATGTCCATTTTTATCAAAAAAAAAAAAATGAGATGTATGGTATAGCCATATAATGGAATGCTACTGGGGAATAAAAAGGAATCAAGTATTGACATATGCTACAACATGGATGAACCTTGATAACCTGCTAAATGAAAGAAGCCAGTCACAGAATACCACCTATTATATGATTCTGTTTTTTGTTGTTGTTGTTGTTTTTAATGGAGTCTTGCTCTGTCACCAGGCTAGAGTGCAGTGGCGTGATCTCGGCTTACTGCAACCTCCACCTCCCAGGTTCAAGCGATTCTCCTGCCTCAGCCTCCTGAGTAGCTTGGATTACAGGCTCGTGCCACCACACCCAGCTAATTTTTGTATTTTTAGTAGAGATGGGGTTTTACCATGTTGGCAGGATGGTCTCCATCTCCTGACCTCGTGATCCGCCTGCCTCGGCCTCCCAAAGTGCTGGGATTACAGGTGTGAGCCACCGCACCTGGCCATATGATTCCATTTCTATATACATGTTCAGAATAGGTAAATCTACAGACACAGAAAGTAGACCAGTGGCTGGTGGTCTATTATAAAATAACTATATACACATATACAAGCTGAATTTAAAAAATTGGGATTTTTGTAGTCTTCAGGAAACAATGAATGGGAATGAGATTGGCAAATCAGTAACAATTTTTTTTCCAATGTACTGCAAGGCAATAAAACTAATATTTTAAGTTTTATTTTTTCCACTAGAGAGGAAAGAAATCATCACAACTATCATGTTTCTGTACATTAAATTCTAAGATGACAACGTTGTAAAATATAGTAAGCAGCAAATAATAAGCCTACCAATGTTGTATTCCTCTCAGTTTGTCACATAATGTTCTACATTACTGTGAATGTCACATAATCATCTTTTGTTTTGTTCCCATGTCTTAGAAATTTTGCTTAACAAAGGTTTTTCATAAGCATACCACAATGAATTTGAAGCTCAGTGTAAGCAGAAAATGACAGGGTATTCCCTCTGAGTTAAACACACAGAAATAGATAATGTAAACGAGTGAATCTCACAAGTCAAGTCCTTTGAAACAAAGAAGGCTTGACCAAGCTCCTCTTAAAAGTTATTAGGATTTTTAAAAATTACATGTAATTAATAACCATAACAGCTACTAAATGGGGAAAAAAAAGCTAAACTGAAAACTCTCACCCGATAATAACTTATTATACCTACTTTAAAATAAGAAACAATACTTGCAAGACAGTAGCAAAAATGCAACTGAAAGATGCGCAAAGTTCCTAAATTCAGTAAAAGAGAAGAAGCATCAAGGAGCCAGACGGCCATAACCACCTGGCAAGCCCCTGGTTACTCACAACAGACTGCAGAGCCAGCCAAGTCGCAGCTAAACTGCACAGCTGCTAAGAAGGAAAGAAAAGCCAACAGAACTAGGAAACAGACCAAGACAGTCCACTTTAAGAATCACCAGCCTACGACAGGACAAAGAAATATGCAAACTGAGTAGGAACTTTACTCGGGAAAGGAATTAGAGACCATTTTCTAGGTGCTCAAAAGAGTCAATTCTAATGTGGCCACCTCAGAGGAATGAGAAAAGCTATTCATAACAAATGTCAGTGAAATTTCCCTGGATATATATATATATATATATACACACATACACATATACTTTTTTTTTTTTTTTTTTTAAAGACAGAGTCTCGCTCTGTCACCCAGGCTGGAGTGGTGCAATCTCGGCTCACTGCAACCTCTGCCTCCCCAGTTCAAGCGATTCTCCTGCTTCAGCCTCCCAAGTAGCTGGGATTACAGGCGCCTGCCACCATGCCTGGTTAATTTTTGTATTTTTGGTAGAGATGGGTTTTCACCATGTTGGCCAGGCTGATATTTTATATTTGAAACACAAGAACAGAAAGATGTTTCTCAAAAGAAAGGAAAGGAAGAATATAAAGATATGGATATTAGGATATTCTATTCCATCACTTTTTATTAATTGAACTGCCTGAGTTACAGTCGCTTGGATGGACTGATTCACAGACAGAAAGTCCTGGACAAAATATTTAGCAGATCCCTTTGAAAAGTATATATATATGCCTTGGAAGTGAAAGGCAGAATCTAGCAAATGGTTGGCTCAAGGTACTAATTTTGCCACAGGTTCCACCAAAGAAGTTTTTTTTCCTACCAGCAGGGATAAGAAAACCCTACCACTTAATGCCCTTGGCCCCTAAGATGTTACAGCTAGGACAGCTGTGAGTCAGATATCAGCGACACCTTTTCCTAACACCAAGGACCTTGGGACAAGCACTTGTTTACTTATGACATGAGATAGGAATAAAATAATTGGTTGGTGAGTTGACAGCAGTATGTTCTTGTTCTCCCCCATCTGTCCTTTTTAACCGTACATCTTAGTGTTTGGAGACTGGTAAGCTCAGGGAACATGCTATGTCTAACTACAAAGATAAGAATGAACGCTCAAATTCAGGAGACAAGAAGTCTTGGAATGAAATCAACCCAAAGCTAAAGGAAATGGAGCCATTATCCAAGAATATATGGCAAAGTTGGTTTTTCTCTTAAAGACAAAGGTAGTTATTTAAGGAGCTACAGAACACAAGAAAATATATTAGTGAGCTGGCACAGCTAAAAATATCTGGATGAGCAGCCCTGGAGATTTTGAAGGCCAGGGAGAGATACCTAAAAATGGTGAGTAGATTGCAACATTAATACAAAGCTGGGTTAGAGAAGTCAAGCTTAATTAAAGGATATATGAAACAAGAATTTTTAAAACATAAGATATAAACAACAATTTATACAGGTTCTACACTGCTGAGAAGAAGTAAGCCAACACCAGAAGTTGGATATCACATTATTTCTGAGAGCATATTCAAGATTTGTTTGATACAAACACGTTGGAAGTAATGAAGACAAACATGACATAGTTTTTATTATAAAAATGTGATAATCGAATTGGAATATATCCTTTTTAAATGGGAAATAAAGACAAAGAAAGAGAAGAAAATACTAGAAATAACTTAAAAAGCATACAAGGCAAAGAAAGTAGTAGAAATTTATTAATTCCAACATAGAAGTTAATTAATGATATAAAGCAAAGATCACTGGCAGACATAAAAACAAAATCTAGGCTGGGCACGGTGGTTCACACCTGTAATCCCAGCACTTGGAGAGGCTGAGGCAGGTGGGTCACCTGAGGTCAGAAGTTTGAGGCCAGCCTGGCCAACATGACAAAAACCCCTCTCTGCTAAAAATAAAAAAATTAGCATGTGCCTGTAGTCCCAGCTGCTTGGGAGGCTGAGGTAAGAGAATCACTTGAACCAGGGAGGCGGAGGTTGCAGTGAGCCGAGATCACGCCACTGCACTCCACACTGGGAGACAGAGTGAGACTCCATGTCAAAAAAACAAAAACAAAAACAAAAAACAAAAAACGAAATCTAACAATCTGTTGTCCCTAAGAGATATGAATAAACTAAAATATAAATGCCCCATAGATCAAGATTTAAAATTTATCACGTCTCTGCAAATACAAAAAAAAAGTGAAGGTTGCTATCATTAAAATGATATTAGATAACATTAAAGGTATGTAAAACTATGAACATTTTAGAAGAGTGCATCTTAATTTTTTATATTTTTAATTTTTTACAGTCCACAGGTCTTTTATTTATTTTTTGACATCTATTATGACACAAATTCATAGGGGATAGGTTCCAGTAGGCCAGACTCCATTCCACTCGTTCACAGAGTGTGCTTCTCTGCCTTCCTTCTTCTCCTGATCATTTTCTTTCATGCATTTCAGGAAGCTATCTCCGCTCTTAGAGTGCTTAATACGCACATTAAATCGCTTAGCAAGAATCTTGCCCTGAACTTGTTTGTTTATAACAACACCAACAGCAGCTGGGTAACACTGTAGACTCCTCCAGTTTTGCCACGGAAACATTTGTGGGGCCTTCCTTTTCGAACAGGAACCATTCCCTTGATGTCAACAATATCACCTTTCTTATAGATCTGCATGTATGTGGCCAAAGGAACAACTCCATGTTTTCTAAAAGTCTTAGAGAACATCTATGGGGTGCCTCTCCTCTTTTTCTTTGTGTTCCTCATCATAGCAAATTATTAGAAGATGGTGGTTCCAGCCAAAAGAAAGGCATCCCAATTCTTAAAACATTATAGCAACAACATATTCTGAAGGAAGGTATTAAAACTGTCAAATATAATTACATCTGAAAGCCTCAGCTATACATCACAGCAAATAAAATAGTTAAGGACTTAAAATCCTATTCAGTGAATCAGATCCACTGATCAGCATTACTTCTTGACCCAAATCCCTCAGAACTCTTAAGGACAAATGGCATAATTAACTGTATCTTAGCAAAAACTGTTGTTCATTTCTATTTGTCACTTCCAACCACCCCACTTATTTTATCTTACAAATGGTTATGATATCCAGTCAACCTCTGCACAATTCTCTGCACACTGTTCTGTAACATTCACCATATGTATCAATCAATAGATAGTTATTATTGACAAGTGCCTGCTATGGTTTGGATATGGTTTGTTTGTCCCCACAAAATCTCATATCGAAATGTAATCTCCAGTGTGGTAGTGTGGAGGCCTAGTGGGAGGTGTTTGGGTGAGGAGGGCAGAACCCTTATGAGTAGATTAATGCCCTTCCTTGGAGGTAAGTTCTTGCTCTATTGGTTCCCACAACAGCCATTTGCTAAAAAGGAACCTGGCACCTCCGCTCTCTCTCTTGCTTCCTCTCTCTCTATGTGATCACTGCACACAGTCAGCTCACCATCATCTTCGGCCATGAATGGAAGCAGCCTGAGCCCTCACCAGATGTCTAATCTTAACTTTCCAGCCATCAGAATAGTAGGCCAAATAAACGCTTTTCTTTATAAATTACCTAGTCTCCAGTAGTTTTTTTATAGCAACAGAAAATGAACTAAGACAGTATCCAGTTAAATATTTGTTGAATAAACAAATATACACCAAATGAAACAATAGCAATAATACTGCCAAAACAGCTTTATTTATTGGAAACAATTTCAAATGTATAGTTTCTTTTCTCCCCACATGGAGGATAGACCCCAATCCTCAATATGCAAAGTCAGCCTGTAATTTAAGATTACTCAAAATTATCTAATAAATACCAAGTTTTAAAAAAATTATTTATACTAACCTCGTAAGAATGTAAGGCGAAAATGAAGCTGGATTATCCTGCTCTGAAAAGAGGGGCATAGATCCTCCCATTATCCACAGACGGAAGTACAAAATGACAAGCACCTTCAGAAAATAAGAAGATTCAGTGAGATTGCCACCAATAATCTCCACCCTTTTTGCAGGTGCATTCTGTTCCTCTAACAGGGAATGAAGTCAGTCACCCCTTCCCTTAAATCTGAGTTAGTCTTGTGGCTGGCTTGTACTGACCAACAGAACATGCAGAAGGTACCTTACCTCTGTTCTGGACCTAATCTTTGGGAGGTGCAGCAACTTTTAGTTCATTCTTTTAGAAACCAGCTGCCATGTGGCAAGGAAGTCTTGACTACCCCTCTGGAAAAAGAACTAACAGGGAGAGGCCCTCGGGGATGAGATATCACGTAGAGGAGAACTGAGATGAACTGGCTCAGACGATAGCTGAATAAACTTCATTGAGTAACCTCAGCCCCAAATCATGATGATCAGAAGAACCGAAAAGCTGAATGCTGCCCAAACTAAAGCAGGTAGGGCAAATACAGGGTTGTTATATTTAAGCCACTAAAGCTGGGGGTGGTTTGTTATGCAGCAATAGACAACTGATACAGCCAGGATTGCACTGCCTCCTCTTGAGACAACTCAGCCTCAGCATCTTGAAAGGGACTCATAGAATACTGCAGTTCACATTGTCCACATCATTAAATCCACATATCCCTGGAATGCTTTCATATATACCTTTGGACGCTTTGTAACATTACGGCATGCCAACTGTTTGATCCCAATGTCATGATGTTAGAGTCTATTGCTGATTCTATTAAATAATTTGAATTACATGTCTGAGCTGAGATAGAGTGGAAACATTCCTTATCAGATATTTCAAAAGTATATATATATATATATATATACTTACATAACTTAGGACCAAAATGGCCCTTTTTAAAAATGGTCTCATGGTAAGCAGGAAATTTCTATTGCTGCTTGCTCTCAGATACCTAAAACGGGAAAGAAAAAAAATCTTAGATAAGTGTGTCTACCAGACACAATGTTCTCCTTTCAAGGTGAAGACGCTGCAGCTCTGAAGAAGGCTGCAGAGAACAATGCTGAGAGCAGGGCCTCTGGAGCCAGAACACCTGGGTTTCCGTTCCCAGTTCTGCTGCTGCTGAGAGCCCAGGAGACCTCGGGCAAGTTTCCGAACCTCTTTGCACATCTATTTTACTCACTTATAAAAGGGAGACAATAATAGTATCTACCTCACAGGAAAGTTGGGAGGAACAAATGAGATAATATCTAGAACAGGACTCAGCTCTGTTAGCTATAAATATTACTATCCCATCGAATCCCAAATAACCCAGTCATTTTGAAAACAATACAGTTACACTGGTCACAGGGATAATCTTAAACAAAATAAGAGTTTATTTACCTACTTAATATAATTTGAAGGCTCCAATGTCTTCCATCCACAAAATACCTCACAGATCTCTTACCTCTAAAAATAGAAGATGCCAAGGTTGTAGGAGGTTAAGTAATTTTTTTTTTTTTTTTTTTTTGAGACGGAGTTTTGCTCGTCGCCCAGGCTGGAGTGCAGTGGTGCGATCTCAGCTCACTGCAACCTCCACCTCCCAGGTTCAAGCGATTCTCATGCCTCAGCCTCCCGAGTAGTTGGGACTACAGGTACTTTTTGTATTTTTAGTATTTTTGTATTTTTAGTATTTTTGTATTTTTAGTACAGATGGCGTTTTGCCATGTTGGCCAGGCTGGTCTTGAACTCCTGACCTCAGGTGATCCACCCACCTCAGCCTCCCAAAGTGCTGAGATTACAGGCGTGAGCCACTGCACCCACTCAGTTAAATAATTTTTTTAAGGCAACAAAGTTATGAGTATCTGTGTTAGGATTAGAGCTCACTGGTATCCAGTGAATAATTTTCTCACCTCCCTGTGGTTCTTGGAACCAAACTAGGTTACAAGAACGTCAGCTTCTAGAGGGGCAGGAACCTGTGTGGATCCTGCCCTGCTGTAGCTTACTCACTTATAGGAATTGGGAGTTCTGGATATCTACATATAAGACAAGTGGTTGGCTGGTTTTAGAAAAAGATGATGAAAGGGAATCAAGAGACGGTATTAAGAAGCCCCAAATGAAAACATAAAATAAGTCATAAGTCATTTTCACCTACATGCAAAATTCTACACGGAAAATACAGAATGGAGGGGGAAAACAAAAGTCAAATCAAATAGCATAAACCGCAAGCACTTCCCACCTCATCCTTATTTCCTCTATCCCTTTTCATTGTTTTTTTCTCCTTTTTAAATCCAATTTTTCCTCAAAGGGGTTTTCCCCAACAAAATTTGCATTAAAATCTGCATGAGGTCTCTTTACACAAAGGTAATGTTCTATAAGGTAAGAAATCCTTTTGTAAAAACCAGAGTGGGTTAATATCTCACAAAGAAATGTCTATCCACCTTGAGGATTGCTTACAATGGCCAGGTGAGGTGGCTCACGCCTGTAATCCCAGCACTTTGGGAGGCGGAGGCAGGCGGATCACGAGGTCAGGAGTTCGAGACCAGCCTGGTCAATATGGTGAAACCCCATCTCTATTAAAAATACAAAAATTAGCCAGGCGTGGTGGCAGACACCTGTAGTCCCAGCTACTCGGAAGGCTGAGACAGAAGAATCATTTGAACCCGGGAGGCGGAGGTTGCAGTGAGCCGAGATCGTGCCACTACACTCCAGCTTGGGTGACAGTCCAGCTTGGGTGACAGAGCGAGACTCCGTCTCAAAAAAAAAAAAAAAAAAAAAGAGGATTGCTTACAAAACACATGTGGCTCCTCTGCTTTGTAACAAATGGTACTGTGAGGAGGTGAGAGCCTCACGCTTCCTTCTCACCTCTCTTTTCCTCTGCCTGGTCCATAAAGAGCTGTGGAAGTGATACATGCTCAGATCTGGCCGTTCAAGTATTTAATGAGTGGAGAAAACGAGGAGTCCAAAAAACACAAAAGAGAGTTGGCTTTTAGCAAGCTCTGGACTGGATCCATCCTCAAGCACTGCATTTAAATCCCTTTCATCTTCCTTAGCTGCCAACAGAGAGCTTGACAAGAAAGAACACCAGGGATACTGTCAGCTCTCACAACCCACGGGGATAGCTACTGTCCCAAAATGGGCTTTAGGGGGTCCGCTGCTTCCTGAAATTTACACAAGATTTTGTGTGTATTTTTCTGAGGCAAAGTCCTTGACTTCGATCTTTAGTGTCAACTGGGTTCTTCGTTGCCTAAAAGGTAAAGCCCTGCTCAGCGTCCTTCTCTCAGCTCTGCCTCTATTGTGACTATTATTTTCAGGCCAACTCAACCACGACCACTCTGGTTATTTCTGCTGTTCCTTTTCAGGATGTATCAATGGCAGCAGAAAGGCAAAGAGAATGACACAGTGGAAATGGAAAAGGTGCTGGGGAGGGCTGGAGAAGTAATACATCTGAATAAAAAGGCACTTTCTGGGGTGATCTGCTTCTGGAAACGTCCTTCCTCAAGTTCCCTCTGTTGCCTGTTTATTTTAACATAGTGGAAAAATTAGCAGTGGTTTTCCTTTCTATAGAACAACAAACCACAAAGTTTAGGATATTTTTAGGTAAATTTTCCTTTTCTTTTTTCTGAAACAGAGTCTTACTCTTGTCGCCCAGGCTAGAGTGTAGTGGCGTGATCTCAGCTCACTGCAACTTCTGCCTCCCGGGTTCAAGCTATTCTCCTGCCTCATCCTCATGAGTAGCTAGGATTACAGGAGCCCGCCACCATGCCTGGCTAATATTTGTACTTTTAGTAGAGACAGGGTTTCGCCATGTTGGCCAGGCTGGTCTCAAACTCCTGACCTCAGGTGATCCACCCACCTCGGCCTCTCAAAGTGCTGGGATTACAGGCGTGAGCCACCACACCCAGCCAATTCTCCATATTTTGTTTCTCTGAAAGCTTGCTATGATGGCTATTTCACTGAGTCATATTTGTAAAGTGTCCCCTGGTTTCCTGAGAAAGTCCATTTCTCAAGAAGCTAAAGGCACCAAATAATTTATTGTTAAAATGTAGCGGCGGATCACGAGGTCAGGAGATCGAGACCATCCCGGCTAAAACGGTGAAACCCCGTCTCTACTAAAAATACAAAAAATTAGCCGGGCGTAGTGGCGGGCGCCTGTAGTCCCAGCTACTTGGGAGGCTGAGGAAGGAGAATGGCGTGAACCCGGGAGGCGGAGCTTGCAGTGAGCCGAGATCCCGCCACTGCACTCCAGCCTGGGCGACAGAGCGAGACTCCGTCTCAAAAAAATAAAAATAAAAAATAAAAAAATAAAAAAATAAAAAAAATAAAATAAAATAAAATGTAGCATCCCAATGTAATGAAAGCCTAAATTGGTAAAGAGAGCAGTGGACGAAAAAAAAAGATGACCTCTTCAAGATTTCTATTTCTAGTTGTTGACCAATAGTAAATGAGAAAGTAACCCAAAATAACATGGCCCTCTTTTTTGGTAAACACTAGGTCAGAGGCTGAGATCCCTAAGCTCAGACAGGAGCACTCTAAGGGCTAAATTCTCTGCATCTTTTCCTCTTCCCCTACCCACACCAAAAATAAACAAACTTTCCCCATCAGTCCAATACACACGATCTGTGAAGTAGAACCAAATAACAACACTCAATAACAATACTATTAACAGCAATAATAAAAATAGCAACAACTAATATGTCCCAGACACTAATCTAAGTGATTTGAGTGTAGTAACTTATTCACCACTTACAACAATTCCATGAGGAAGAACATTATAATTTCTTTCTTCTAAAGGAGGAGAACATAAAACTGGAAATAATACTTAACTATGACATCAGATTCTCTCAGCTATTCATTGCAACTATAAGATAAAGTACCTAAAATTGTCTTCAAATACAATTTACTATGTAAATGCTATTACTATTTTTTTCTAATTCCAGTCAAGTTCTCCATTCTTTTCCTTGCAAAGCCAGAGAACATGTCAACAACAAAACCAGACCACTGATGAAACCAACAGAATGAGAACTAAGGGTCCAGGGTTCTATTCCTCTGATCCCATCTAACTTGTCACATGATGTAAAATAAATCTACCTGAGCTTTACTTCCTTCCTTTATTAATGAATGTTAGACCAAATGGTCTCAGGGTCAGTTTTAGGTCTAAAATATTGTGATCCTTGGATGTTCTCACCAACTGATGACACCAAAACTGACGAAGGAAAAACGAAGAAACTACCCAATTTCAAAAAAAAAGAGAAAGGAATGTCAAGGGATTCGTGAAAAGTCAAATATTAGTTGACCCTTCACCTGGAGGAGGCCCTTCAAAATTTGAAGTTGCATATGAAAAAACAGTTGAACATTAATCGAGGGTATTGGCATCAAGGTTATTGGCATTGTAAAACAGTATTTGTAACAACTTCTGATTCTTGCCAAATAAAAGCAAAAGACTAAGGTTAGCCATAGTAAATTCCCTAATCTACGCTCCCACATACCCAAATTTTCTGACTACTCACATCCACCATCCCAGTATATCATGTTCAAATAAAGGTCAAGTTTACCATCCATAGTTACTTGGTCCTCAAATCCTATTGAGAGATATTAGCAGAGATCAGAACAACCAGCCAACCATAATCATCTACCCACCCATAATCTTGAGAACTAAATAAATGCTTATTATAAATCAATGACCTTTGTTAACACAGAATTATCACGTCAATAAATAATTGATCATATGACAAAGTTTCTTTGTTTGACCAAAACCTAGTCAGGTTCCTGAACCTTCTCCTAGGCCCATCTGTGTACTTTCTTGTAAAATCCAGTCTTAGCGAGAATCCCGCTAAATCAGTTTAGCCAGAAACCCCCACCATCAGAGCTGATCACTGTCAATATCTAATCAAGTTTTTCATCCTCCACCGTCTCCCAGGAGATGTCTCATCACCCTGGCCTATCTTTAGGAATAATCCTGTTAGGTCTATTTAGCCAGAATTCTCCCTTATTCATGATGTTTTCTCTTAGTAATTTTCCATCCACTGATGCCCCCCCAACCCACCACACCCTGCTCACTGGCTATAAATTCCCACTTGTCCATGCTATATTCAGAGTTAAGCCCCAACTCTCTCCACTACTGCAAAATTCCATCACAGTGGTCTCCGTATCAATTGCAACAGACCCATCCTCACCTTAAGGTTTTCCTTACAGTGCTTTAACAAGTGTTATTTGAATATTTTTAACACATATAGCAAGATGATCAATAAATGCTTACTGAGCCAAATCAAATTGTAAACATCTACCCCTTTTCTTTTCTTTCTTTTTTTCTTTTTTCTTTTTTTTTTTTTTTTGGAGACGGAGTCTCGCTCTGTCACCCAGGCTGGAGTGCAGTGGCACAATCTCGGCTCACTGCAAGCTCCGCTTCCTGGGTTCATGCCATTTTCCTGCCTCAGCCTCCTGAGTAGCTGGGACTACCACCATGCCTGGCTAATTTTTTTTTTGTTGTTGTTGTTGTATTTTTAGTAGAGACGGGGTTTCACTGTGTTAGCCAGGATGGTCTCGATCTCCTGACCTCGTGATCCACCCGCCTCTGCCTCCCAAAGTGCTGGGATTACAGGTGTGAGCCACCACACCCGGCCTACCCCTTTTCTTTTTCTGTGTTTTCCTTACCCTCTCGTGGTAGATCAGGGTACAAAATAAAAGTGCTCACAGTTTGGAATGTGGCAGCAAGTTGGAAGAGAAAAACCACTTTCCACTGGAAATGGTAATAGTGCCATTTCCCTTACCCGGAATACTAATGATTTCAATGAAGATATGAAATTAGTCTTTCCAGCTGTTCTCAGAATCTATAAACACCTGATAATTTTTGCCTAAATGTCAGCTCCAGGTAGCAAACATCTCAGATACAATGAATTGTAACTGTTTAACATTATAGCAACAAATCATAAACAGTGATATATGAAATTTCTTCTAGAACATCAATCTTAATTGACTTAACTTCCTTTGCTCTTTCAACGCAAAAAGGAAATTAGTAAAGAGTCACATATTCAGATCAAAAAAATGTTTTGGAATCAGAGCTTTTTCAACAGAAATGCAGATTTACTGCTTCTCTTTGAAACTCAAGAAAAAAGATTTCTCAGTTGATCAGAATATAGCAAAGACACAGCTCACATCAGAAAAAAAGCAAAAGCTTAACAAAAACAACAAAAGAATTTTAAGTGTCTTTTGACACTTAACAATAAAGGAAACTTAAGTGTTTATGGGTTCTCTCTTTAATGTACTTTCCTTGAACCCATGAAGTGCCTCGTCTAAACCTTAATAGGCAAAGGCATTCCATGGAGGAGTCGAACAACCTTTGATGTCTCCTTTGATATTCAAATAAAGATTCTGAAGGAAAGGAGCTCACTATTCTAAGAAAACAATGATGCATATTTCAGTTCTATCTACTCAGAAACTCAGACTGACCTTCAATACCCCATTCTAAGGCTATGATAAATTTTCCTTCCAGAAATTTTAAACTCTGAATTCAAGTTACTTCCAAGGAAACAGTTACTTCAATTATCATATATTAAACGGTGAAAATGACGACAAAGAAGCCATAGGAGAAAATAATTTCAGTTCTCTTAACCATTCTGCAAATTAAAGTTAGAGGTGAAAGGAATCAAAACAGCTCATGTAGTTTTATAATGAGGGAAAAAAATGATGCCCAGAAATGTTACTTGGCCTGCAAAAAGGTCATGATGTTTCAGTGTCAAAGGTCAATGAGTTTAAGCTTCATCAATTTACTTAGAGGACCTTATTTTTATTCCCTCTATGATTAATTTAGTTGGAGGCCCTAGTTTTTTATTCCTTCTACAACTAATAGCAAAAATTTCAGACATCACCCTTGTCTCTCATTAACAGTCCCAGGGAAGTTTCAATTCATTAGTGATGGCAGGTACTGAATCCATTTAATAGGCACTAATCACTGTGCTAAGCACCTTACCATTTTTATTTCATACTAGCCCTGTGAGTCCATACTTGTCCCTGTCTTGCAAATGAGGCGGAGGAGGTACTTACTCAGGGATCTCATGGCTGGCAAGAGGCAAAGGTGAGACCCAAATCTAAATCCAAATCAAGCATTCACTACTCTGTACAGCACAGAAGTAAAATAGAGCTGGTTTATTCAGCATGTTTCCAACACAGATCATTGTTAAACTGCATTTCTGCATGTTAACAACACAATGACTTCTGTCTTAGTCTGTTCATGGTGCTGTAATAAAATACCACAGACTGAGTAACTTACAAAGAACAGAAATTTATTTCTTCTAGTCCTGGAGGCTGGAGAGTGCAAGATCAAGGCACCAGCATCTGGGAGGCCTGGTGAAGGCCTTCTTGCTGCATCCTCGCATGGCAGAAGAGCAGAAAAGCAAGAGACATAAACTCTCTCTGAAGCCTCTTTTACAAGGGCGTTGACTAATGCACCTCCCAGAAGGCCTCACTCTTAATACTACCACAATGGGGATTAAGTTTCAATGCAAATTTTGGAAGGGATTCCACATTCAAACCATACCAACTTATCTTTTTTTTTTTTTTTTTTTTTTTTGAGATGGAGTCCCACTCTGTCACCCAGGCTGGAGTGCAGTGGCACGATCTCAGCTCACTGCAACCTCCAACTCCCAGGTTCAAGTGATCCTCCTGCCTCAGCCCCTCTAGTAGCTGGGATTACAGGCACATGCCACCATGCCTGGCTAATTTTTGTACTTTTAGTAGAGACAGGGTTTTGCCATGTTGGCCAGGCTGGTCTTGAACTCCTGACCTCAGGTGATCCACCCACCTTGGCCTCCCAAAGTGCTGGGATTACAGGCATGAGCCACTGCTCCTGGCCCCAGCTTCTAATTAATTAAAAGTGATAAAGATCATTTCAATATCTTCTTCAGTTCATACAGTTCTACAATGAAGGCTTTTCATACAAATGAATGAAGTTAACAGTGCACAATTTTTGAAAGTCCTTTTAATAAGCACGCTTTTAAAAGTTAACGCATGTAGTGATTGCTGCAGGTTGAAACACAAGTGCCATCCATGTACCGTGGACTCAGAAATTCTAAGTGAGAAAAAATGGTAAGAAGGAGAATGAGCAGAGCTGGGAGGGCGTCACTGTGTGGTGAGATGGCCAACCAGCCTGTCCCACAGAGAGAAGCAACCAGCAGAAACAGGGAGTGGGACAGATGAGGATGCTCCAAGTGACAAATGTAGCTGACACCTGAGGAAGATGAGAAGTGAATTAGGTGCAAAGAGATAGAATATGATATATATACAGAGGCCTAAGATTGAGAGGGCAAGCTCAGAGGGAGAAAGTGAAAGAAGTCCATATGGCTGGAAGATCTAATACTGGTACAGTGGTGAACAGAGAGACTAAAGTGGTAGGCAGGGGCCCTTTCACTCCGGGACTTCATGGCCCATTGTGGAGTTTAGACTTTATTCTGATGGCAATGGACAGTCAGTGAAGGGCTTAACACAGAGAGATAACCCCATCTGATTTCCAATAGTGCAGTGTTAGCATTGCATGACATTGGTAGAGTGCCCACTCTGAAGTCCATAACAAAGAACAAGAGGTCCAGCAGCCTCAAGGGGGACATGGTGAACACCAGGAAGTAGACAGCTATTTTGGAAATTTCCGAGATACCAGATGTAGAAACAAATAAGAGGTTCTCGTTCAAGTAGATAGAGAGACCTTATCATAAGAATAAGTGAGAAAAGCATGTGTTACGTTTACTTAGCAGTATGATTTAGGTGTTAAGTATGTTTCTACTATAATCTTTTGTTAGTTGGTCATCAATTTGGTATATATAAAAACTTGCTACTAAGAAGAATATTTAATTTGCCAAATAAACTCCCTTTAGAAGAGGATACATAGTATGTATTTGTATGGCATTTATGTGTCAAAGAGCTTTTCGATTCATTCTAACATTTAATCTTTGAGATATATTCATGAAGTGGGCAGAACAGAGAGAACTGGCCCCATTGTACAGATTTAGACCTAGGGAGCAGTGGGTCTAGCACCAGGATTGAGTCTCCTGATGGCCAATTCAATGCCTTTTTGCTGCATCACTGGTCTCCTCTCTGACCACACATTTGCTGTGTTTTCCGTTATTTCCATCCATCCAAGTTTGTTGCAAACCAAAGACTAAATAATCCATGCAATAAAATCACTGCTACTTGCAATACACATTTGTGTAAGTGCACAAGTAGACGTTTGCACTAAGAAAAAGATTAAAACAGTCAATAGTACTATAATGATATTTTCTGATCCTTTTACTGGGATACATGGATGGATAAATTCAAGTATAATTAAGCTAGTGAAAAAGAGTATTTGATACTGGGACTGTCTGGGTAAACTAGTGAAATACATTTCCTGTTAATGACAGCAGCAAATACCATTTAATGAATACCTACTGTGCCCCAGGCATGGTTCTAATGCCTGTAATCCTTAGCACATTCCTGTCAGACGGGCACTATTAATATCTTAATGTTGCAAGTGGGGAAACTGAGGCATTAATGGTCAAATAACTTGTCCCAAGGTTCCACAGGTAGTAAGACAGGGGTGTCATAAATTCAGTCTGTGCCCTTAATCACAAAAGCTCTGCTACCTCTCACGGCATTTCCAACAAAATCTCTGTCTTTACCGTCCCAGGAGGATGCTTGAAATTCAAATACTATTCTCACAGATGTTTGTACACATCAGTGACATACATTTGAAAGGACATGAATTCAGGGTCAGTGTGGTGGCTCATGCCTGTGATCCCAGCACTGTGGGAGGCTGAGACAGGCAGACTGCTTGAGCTTAGGAGTTCCAGACCAGCCTGAGTAACACTGCAAAACCTCATCTGTATTAAAAATACAAAAAAATTAGCCTGGCATGGTGGCACATGCCTGTAGTCCCAGCTACTCAGGAAACTGAGGTGGGAGGATTGCTTGAGCCCAGAAGGTGGAGGTTTCAGTGAGCTAGCTGAGATCGTGCCACTGCATTCCAGCCTGGGCCACAGCACGAGACTCTGTCTCAAAAAAAAAGAAAAAAAAGGATAGGAATTCAGGATACCAAGATATACCTGATCCATTTAAGAAATTATCAAAAAGTCAGCCAGGCGCAGTGGCTTACGCCTGTAATCCCAGCACTTTGGGAGGCTGAGGTGGGCGGATCACGAGGTCAGGGGTGTGAGACCAGCCTGACCAGCATGGTGAAACCCCATCTCTACTAAAAATACAAAATAAAATTAGCTGGGTGTGGTGGCATGTGCCTGTAATCCCAGCTACTTAGGAGGCTGAGGCAGGAGAATCACCTGAACCTGGGAGGCCTCCGGAGGTTGCAGTGAGCAGCGATTGCACCACTGCACTCCAGCCTGGGCGACAGAGTGAGACTCCATCTTAAATAAATAAATAAATAAATAAATAAATAAATAAAAGAAATAAACAAAAAGTCTACTACAACTTTATCACTACAAAAAAAGTCAAACTATTGAAACAGCAATATTCAATTTGACAACCAAAATGTTGAACACCGAGTTAAGTCTTAGAAGCAATATAGAAAAAGCATACATGCATACATTTAACTTGTAAATTACAGAGAAAATGTATTGAGTGCATACTGTGCGACAGACACTGTTCTAAACACGCTAATTCTTTAAGTGCATACAACAACGACAACTACAAAGCAGGTGCTATTGCTATGCTCATTTTATAGACGGGGAAACTGAGGTGTAAAAAAGTGAATTCACTTGCCCAGGACCACAAAGCCAGCCATTAGCAGAACTGGGATTTGAATGTATGCATTCTGGTCCTGAGTTCACACTCAATGCTACACCATAGGGCCCTTTTTACACTTGCTGCACTACCCAGGAGGGGTGCATGTGATCAAGTACTAAAGAAAGAAATCAACATGGGCTGGAAAAGGAAGGGAAGCTGCGGGAAAGACCTAGGCCTGAAGAGACAGAGAAGATGAAAGAGTCTGGGTAGGCAAGAGGGGCCAAGGGGAGAGGTGCCCCAGGCAGCTGCACAGGGACTAGAGTGAGCACAGCCTGCTCCGAAGCAATGACAGCTCTCTGCACATACAGTATAGGCAGCCCTCTCCTCCTGTATATGGGGGCACTACTGAAAGTGTCTCAAAGTCAAGTGTCTAAAATTTGAATAAAAGAATGGTGAAGTGGAAGTTCCAATCCCTGGAAGCTTGAGCAGCAGTATGACATCCCTACATGATTGATGGTGACTCCATCTCCCTTGGCTCAGCCATCCATGATTTCACCCAGGCAGTTCACTGTCCCTTCATCCTGGCCCAGTGCTTACCTGGTGCCATCCCTGTCTTTAGGGCTCATCAAGTTCCTGCAGGAGTACACACAGAAGAAAATGTTTCCACAGCCCCCTGCCATGTTTCCAACTCTAATTTGCTCCCAAAAAGTTTCAAACCACAGGGTCAGTACCCAGGACACTGATGGGGTCCATTGCTAGTGGGAGGGGTCATTTTGTATTATAGATCAGTGCTTTGGTCTCTCCTTCATCTCTTGCATCCATGTAGAATGCAGGCCAGGTCAGTCCATTTGAATCTCTCCCCCACCTCACTTTCTATCCCACCTTTATACTGGAACATAGGCTGGGGTTTGTGCTCCAGATCCAGGCAGCTTCAATTTAGGGCAGAGAGAGGAGAAAGTCCCATTTAAACATCTACAAATTCACTTTCTCCAATCTAGTTTTCAATCTAGGGCCCTCCATAGCCCTCCTCTCACCCCATCCTCATTCACATGCTCTGAAGCAACTCTAATAACAACGACAATAAATCCAGAAGCTCTCAGACACACGTACACACTGAGTTCTCTCAGGGGCCAAGTAGGACATTTGGCATCCTGGGCTTTTCTGCAGACCACAGCTCCTCCTGAAATAGATCACTTGGCTGCACTGCAGACAAAGGCCTGCAGTAAAGTAGGTGGCCTCATAAAACGCAACACCCGTTATAAGGAGGTAAACAATGTAGAGAAAAAGAAAACTTTTCCTGGTTCAAACAAACCTATCCAGAGAACAGCTGACTTTTCTGGCCCCCACCCCTAATGCCCTTTCAATTTAAGATAGGATGGTTGACTGTCAGAGCCACAAGAGCTAGAAAGTGGGGAATCCAGTCATTGCTGCACTATATTGGCAAACACCTGTAAAATAAATTCACTTTCTTATAAAAATCTTACTTTGAGAAGATTTCAGTTTTATTTCACTTGGAACTCTATTTTTTGCATTGAGGGGAGATACATTATACTTTAAGAAAAAAGTGAAAATGTGAGGTTTCAACTCTAGTCAATTTGGTTTTATTTTCAAATTCCAATACTCACTTGCTTTGAAACTCCTGAGAAGAAAGCTATAGCTAAGATTTCAGAGTAGAAATAAGAATCACAGCCGCTCTTAGCATAGATCATACATTGCATGCAAACAACTGTCATTCAGATAACTGTCAGCATGTCAATGTTTGTGTAAAACGCTTTTCAATATTGTGAAAATCAGAAATCCATAATAATTAAGTCTACATGATTATTTTTAAAGGCATGCTTCTTATGTTCATATAATTTTTCGAACATTCTTCTAATTTCCTTCTAGACCTAAGTGACTCATTTTAAAACATAACATAAAAAGCCCAAGTAGGAAAGTTGCCAAAGGAACTAGAAATTCCAGTCTCTGTCCAATTATTCATATATGTATATTTACATATTTAATTATATTTATTTATATTTTACTTATCGTTTCCAAAGAAAAAAATTGAGAAGATAATTTTATAACATTGCATTTTGCTAAGTGTTCATTATCTCTGTGTAAGATGCTATGGCTGCCAGAGGGACTTCTTTTTTTTTTTTTTTTTTTTTTTTTCTTTTTTGAGATGGAATTTTGCTCTTGCTGCCCAGGCTGGGGTGCAATGGTGAGATCTCGGCTCACCACAACCTCTGCCTCCCAGGTTCAAGCGATTCCCCTGCCTCAGCCTCCCAAGTAGCTGGGATTTCAGGCATGTACCACCATGCCTGGCTAATTTTGTATTTCTAGTAGAGACAGGGTTTCTCCAGGTTGGTCAGGCTGGTCTCGAACTCCCAATCTCAGGTGATCTGCCAGCCTCGGCCTCCCAAAGTGCTGGGATTACAGGTGTGAGCCACCACGCCCAGCCTTGCCAGAGGGACTTCTCAGGGTCCCTTTATGTTATGCTCTCGAAGGACAGTACTCTTGACAACACAGAGGCAGCTGGTGTGGTGAAGCAACCACAGGCCCTGGGGTCACAGAGATCTGGGTTTGAATTCCAGCTCATTCAGTTATAAGCTAGGAGACTACGCAGGCCTTTTAGCCTCCCTAGGTCAAGATAATTTCCACCTTACAAAGTCATCAAAAATATTTCTATGAGATGATATATGCAAGTGTCTCACCACAGTGCCCAGCACATAAAGGTGCTCAAAGTAGCATTATTAGAATAGTAACCAGAAATCAGCTGAAAATACTAAAACCCTATGGCCTATCCTTCAAGACCAGAAAAAAACAATCAGAAACAAATGAGTAAAGGAATGCAGCTAGGATTAGTAGAGGAAAAGATTTAATCTCTCTCAAGTTCTGTCAGCTCCCTCCTTCCTGGAAGGAAAAGAAAAAAAGAACGAAATATTTTCCTAGAAGACAAAGCTATAATTCAGCATTCAACACTCTTCTTGCTGACGGGACTCCTTTAGTTCAGCTGTAAAGGTTGTCCATGCACAAGGCAGCCAGCTCAGGAGGAGGGAGGGAGGTGGCCTGTGAGGGCTCAAATCCAGCCCATGCTCTGTTCAACGACCTGTGGTGCCCAGGCACTGGCTTTACCTGCCGTAAAGAAGGGGGGGCCTTTTCCTAATTTACTCAAAAGAGCAAGAAGTGCCCACACCTCAAACATCACGCACCCACCATGCCTCATGCCCACAGTGTTTTCTATTTTGCATAAAGATCCCCAATGGGCCAGCAGCAGCCCTGATCTACTACTATGATTATTACTTAATACCCACTAGACAGCTTCATTGTCCTAATGATTTTCACAGGGGCTTGTTTAATCTAATGTTTCCATTTTCTTTGCAGCCAATTTCATTTTCTCACTGACATATTACAGCAGTGTTGCTATATTTCCAGTCACCGGACCATGTGCAAAGTAACTTAATGTTAAAATGAAGAATAACATTGGTTTCTGTCTTAATTCAGCTAAGTTTCCCTTGCAGATTCAGCATGGTACTTTGTACAGTAGTCATTTAATTCATCAAACTGTGTTTAAAAAAATCCTAACCATACAAGTCTTAACACCACATTTACAAACCCCACAAACATCAGGGCCCAATTTGAGACTGTTATTTTAACAAACACAATTTTCCTGTCCTAAACTTAACTCAAGTCCAACTGAACGTCCACTGAAAGTTTTCCAGTCTAAAGTTTCCAGATCATAGAGATTTTCATACATGAAGCTGGATTTTCATCCAGTGTGACCAACCCATTCAGTTTGCCTGGCACTAAGGAGCTTCGTGGGACACAGGACCTTCAGTACTAAAACTGGGACAATCCTGGAAAAACCTGGTCACCCTGTGTGCCATCCTCTAGTAAGCTGGTACAGTACAGTAGAATAAACTGCTAAGGAGTAGTTCTGCAAAAGTCAAAGAAAAAAGTGGTTTCTCTGTGCCCTGGACACACATGCAAATACACACACACACACACACACACACACACACACACACACACACCCTCCATGACTTTCTGTTTCTTGTGAATAAGAGTTTAATCAAAAACGAGTGTTTCTCTGGTGGAAGATATCTACTAATTGGTTCAACTTGTTAATTCTGAAAACATGAGAACTAGAATTTTCTCACCCACGCTTTCCAGCTGTCAGACAAATCTTTTCATCTAACTTGGATGAGCCAATATAAGGTATTCTTAATAGCATTGTTCCATGAAAGTAACAAAATGGAAAGGAGGGAAGGAAGAGACAAGGGTTTAATAACCATTAAGACTGTACAGAGTCCCCCTCTGTGTGCAATCAATGGAATTATAATGACTTTGTTTAGTGGATGATAAAGCTGCCTGGTTGATTCTAACAGAAGCTGATATTTCAAAAACGAAATTGAATCAAGCTTACGCCATTAATTAAAAGGAATTTGATGGTTTTCATTTTAAAGCACACCATATCTATAAAGGATGGACACAATAGTGCCTAAATAATCTTAGCTGCAAATAACCTAAACATTCAACAAAACTAAAATTCCAAAACCTCACACTTGTAATTTTGAAACATTTATCTGTTCATACACTGCTACGTGTGTCAGATATCCATTTTAATTTTTAAATATTGGTTAGGACTTAATTTAAAAGTTTGTGAGTTTTCCTATTTTATGTAACTTTCTTTTACTACCTTTTCCTTGTATATGCAAGCTTTATTGACTATAAGATTATCCAAAATGATTCCCACTCTCCTTAAATATGAAGACTCCAATTTTCTGGGTCCTATCACTATTATCAGCACTCAGTGGTCTCTTACTCTGACAAAAGAACCAAACTGTAAAAGTTAAGCGAATACTTCAGACTGACAAAAGCAATAGATGTTAATCAGGAGAGAATCAAACTCCAGAGCATATATTTTGATACATCCTTTGCTCAAGTAGGAAACCTGATGCCTGCATTCCTGCCATAGTCAGTCAGAGATCGATTTCCAGGGATCCCATCTACACTCTGCCTTCAAACGAAAGGTCACCTCCAGGAGCGATGCACTGGGCACAGTCTCTCTTCAAGACGTGAGGACACGGCAAATGGTGCTAATTCCACTAGGCAGGGGATTAAAAATCATGATTGATCACCAATTTTCTAACTAGCACTCTATGAGAAACTGATAGAAGATGATGCCCTCGTGCAGCCAAATGAAGCATTTTGTGGGCATGCTGGAATGAACCCTGAAGCCAGGCCATATCAGTGTGGGCAGTTGGGGAGTCATTAAGTCTTGACAGAGCTGGCTGGCATGCCACAGTGTGTGAAGAAGAAAAACATCCTGTCCTCCTATAATATGATTTGAGGGCCAAAATAATACAATTCACATCAGGCCCTCCAGAGGAGATGCAGACAAGGTCCAAGTCTGGTCCTTCTGTGGAAATGAAAGTACTGACAGGCACACAGATATCCCTCTGCCTAAAAGCATTTATCATTTTAAGCCATTAGGATTTTCAGTTCCACCTTCAAGAAAACAGCATAAATAAATTCACTGGCCTCTAATTTTGCTGTTTCTCTTCTTTATCTAGTCAATGTAATGGGTTTCAGGATCAAGGTTATTACAAATAAAAATAAAATCAGATTTGCAGCATGAATAACCCTTTATCTGCATGTCTGTTTAGTACCTTGTGATTTTTTTGTTGTTGTTTATTTGTTTTTGTTCTTACCACATCTTAACAGGACCAATGGGCCTACTCACTAATAAGCACATCCTGCAGTTATTTCCATACATAAAATATGTGCCATAAAATATGCATAGAAGCACAAGCAACCCAAACAAGATAAATGAATTAATCCTACTGTATGAGCCATTCTCAGACAACTAAATGATTTAATTTCTTCATTTACAAAAGACAACTATTCCATCGTTATACCGCGGTAGCCCCCTTTATCTGCAGTTTCAGTTACCTGCAGTCAATTGCCGTCCAAAAATAGGAAATGGAAAATTCCAGAAAGAAAAAATTCATAAGTTTTAAATCACATGCCTTTTAAGTTGTTCCGAGTAGCATAATGAAATCTCACATTATCCCACTTGGTCCCACTTGGGAAGTGAATCCTCCCTGTGTCCGGCATATCCACTCTGTTCACCCATTAGTGATGTAGCAGCCAGCTCAGTTATCAGATCGACTGCCGCAGCATCACAGTGCTTGTACTCAAGGAACCCTTATTTTACTTAATAATGCCCCACACATGCAAAAGCAGCGATGCTGCCATATGGCTATAATTGCTCTATTTTATTATGTTATTGTTGTTAATCTCTTACTGTACCTAATTTATAAATTAAACTTCATCACAGGTATGTATATATAGGAAAAAACGTAGCAATAGTATGTCTAGGATTTGGTACTATCCATGGTTTCCGGCATTCACTGGAGTTCTTGATACGTATCCCCCACAGATAACAGGGAAGTAATTTATTTTAGAAATTTAATAAACTAATATTTCTGCAACATTCTGAAACTCATTTACTGAACAACTTCATCTGTTGGTGATACATACAAGAATCAGAGATGAACAAAAGTCACTTCTGAGCAATCAAAACTAATATTTCAAACTCACAATTTTCTGACTTTCATTTCTAAAACAAAATAAAACCATAGAGAAGTGCTGCTATACGGTGGCTGAGATTGGCTTATAGTTCTCCAGATATTACTTCTTCTTCCTGAGCACACAACTTCTCTGCTTTGCTTACAGTTAGAGATGGCCATGTGACTGAATTCTAGCCAAAGGAAGGTAAGTGGACGTGACAGGCAACAATTCCAGGTCTGGCCCCTAAAATCTTCCCATAACATTTAAACACCCAAACATTCTCTTCCTACTTGATGAAGACAAGCATGGTGACCTCCAGCCATTGTTTGAAGATGCAGAGCCACAAGATTGAGGGACAGTGGGTTTCCGAATCATAGTGTAGAGATGAGGTGCCACTAATCAGGGACATTTGTTTCAGACTTGATGTGAACAAGAAATAAGCTTCTACTGTGTGTGAGCCACTGTTCATGGCTATGGTTATCTTAACTAGTGGAGATGCCAATAGTAATGAGAAGTAGCATCAAAAAGCAAGGAGAAATCTATAAATTCATCTTTTGGAAACAAATGTGAGATGCTCTAAAGAACTTAGGTAAGCAACATTAGTGTCTCAGTATTTACAAACACTACATTAAAAAAACTATAACAGAACACAATGTGAATATGGCTACCATGAAATGGAAAAAAAAATCATGGACTTCCCATGGGAGTAAAAATTTGTACAACTGTAGAATTTTGTCTGAATAACAATTTGGCAACATACATCAAAACCTAAAACATTTCTCCAACCATTAGCAATCACACTCAAATCCGAAATGCACAGAAAGAGTTATGTCCATAATATTTATTAATAAAAAACCTGGATACAACCTAAATATCTAATATAGGTGAATAGCTAAATAAATTTTCATACAACCATGCAGTGCAATATCATTCAATGATTTTAAAATTATCTTTAGAAGAATAAAGACATGCAGGAACACTCATTATATATTACTAACAAAAAATAAAAGAATACATGACAAAGCAACACATTCAATATTCATCCAGTTGCTAAAATGTATATATGTACAACAACAGATTAGTGAGCTATGCAGCAAAACAATAATAGAGGTTTCCCCTGGGTATTGATATGATTCATGTATTTTAATCTTTATTTTATAATTTTCTGTAGTTCTGAATTTTTAGTAATTAACATGAAATACTTCTATAGTCAGAACAAAAGTCAGTAAACGCTATTATTTTGTAAAATTTCTTACAAATTAAAAATAAGGAAAGACAGAATCTCTAAAATCAGATATAAGAACTAAAGATCAAGGACCAGACAAAAATATGTTAGGCCAGCTCAGAAACCTTTATGGAATGGGCTATTCTAATAGCATTCCTCTATAACCAACATTCATAGTGATGATGCTAATATACTGCTATGGAGTGATCGCAGATAAAGGAAAAATGTGTACAACATGCTATCATTTATCTAAGTAGGAGGCTATATACATTAAATTAAAGCTAAACCAAACTGAAGAAGAGAAGAATAAAAAAAGAAAGAGGAAAAGAAGGAGAAAAAGAAGAAAGGGTAACCTATAAGTAGAGGGATGAAACAGGATAGAGAGGACTAGAGAGACCTCAGGACTAGAGAGACCTCTTTACTGTACCCTGTTTTGTAGATTTAGAAGCAGTGTTTACATTATTATGAAATAAAAGAAAAAAACATGAAACAAATGATCCATAATCATAAACTATATAAAGTAGGTTTAAATCTCAATAATTTGACCATATATACCTAGTACTATATAACTTAAAAACAAAAAGAATTATTAAAAACCCCACACACTATTTTTAATAATCACTTTGTTTCTGGTAATGATGGCATTGTTATTTTGAGACTTCTGGGAGTAATGTGGAATAAAGCAAATAAGTAATTACGCTGGTGTCGTTAGGAACCAGAGTTTTCAGTGGCAGCAAGGGAGACAGAAATGTACCATCAATGAGATTAAGCAAAATCCCTATAGCTCTGAATTTGAATAGAAAACATCAGACTGAGCTCGTTATCTATTTTCATATTTTAAAAGATAATTGATTTTGACAGAAGTCTCCACTGAAAAAGCCTAGAAACAGTGAGCTATCCAGTAGGAATGAGCACCACAATGCCCTGATTTGGGTCCTAAAATTATTTCCAAAGAAAAAGAACCAAAAGCTCTTGAACAAATGGCTGTTTCCAGGTCGGAGGTAGAAAATAAATAAGATGAGGCTGGGTGTGGTGGCTCAGAGGGAGAGTTAGAAAAGAATTAATAAAG